>NC_000007.14:84931021-85234051 GCF_000001405.40 Homo sapiens | reverse complement strand
GTCAAGAATACATTCTCTAACATTATCAAACTAAGGAAACTAAACATTGATAAAATTATATTGTCTAATATGCTTTCTTCATTCAGGTTATAGACAGTTATCCTGATAACATCATTAATGGCATTTTCCCCTGATCTAGACCCAGTTCAGGCTCTTATGTTGCTATGAGTTGCCATGTCATTTTGGTCTCTTTTAATCTGGAAGAGCTCCAAAACCTTCCTTTGTCTTTCACAACGAAAACATTTTTGAAGTTTGGCATATTGTTTTGTAGGAGAAGCTTCTATTACTGTTTTTATTCTTGCTTGTATTGGTATCTCTTATTCAACGTTAGCAATCAGATAAAACTAGTAAAACCAGACTGATCTCCACATGCAAAATGATTACAAGCACCATCTTTATTCACTTTCAACACCACTATTAATAACAACAAAGTACGGGAGGGCAGGAGTTCCACAAGGAGACTTGCTGTCCAGGTAAACATAATGTGAAGGCCAGACTAAACTGAAGTTCCAGAGTACTTATCTGTCTACTCATCTTCTGCTCTGTGCTTTCTCATGAGATTATCTAGCCTAATCACATATGTGCAGTTTCCTTGCCTTCTGGTAAGGATTTAGAAGTAAGGCAGTATTACTCTCTAATTCTATACATGGAAACTTACTCAAGGCTACTCACACATTCGAACTTGATCACTGGAAACCAGTTTCATTTGAGGGTACTAATCATCTCAAAGGCTGAGCCATTCTAGCATTTCAACAGTGTACTCTGTTTCTTAAATTGACTTTTCATTCAAGTAACATCTTTTTTTTTTTTCATTCGCGCTAGCCGTTGTTCAAAACCATTTCACCTGGCATTGAAGAGTTTTTTCTAACATCAACACATTTTTTTCAGTAATAGGAAAAATGATTTCCTCAAAATAATGTCCTCATGATGAAATCATATTTACTCCTTGGTCAGAAAATATGTTTGACACTGAGCAGAGGTCTACCGTTAAATTTAATAAGTTAAATGTAGATTTTCTTTCCCTTCTCAGGGAATGAAGAGGATTTAAAGAGGATTGTGTGATGTTGCTAGAGGGTAGGGACAAGTTTAAGGATGATTTTCTATGTCTCTCCCTCTCCATTCAGAAATAAGGACTCATAAAGGGTTAATGGCCAGGCATATAAACGCATGAAGTTGCATTAGAACCACAATTTATTTGGCACACATAGCACAGCAGATATTCCCAAGAGAGCTAGTTTACTTGCTTGTTTATTTGTTTCAATAGATTTCACTTTTTAGAAAAGTTTCACATTTATCTAGTTTGATTTTAAGGAAGTCTCTAACCTCCACCTGTACACTCTTAGCTAGTAGTTATTCCTACTATCAATATTTCAGGAGAAGCCTAAGTCTTTCAGGATCCCCTGAAAAAAATGATACGACAATAAAAGAGAAAAAGAGATTATTGCTTCTCGTTTAGGGGTGCTATTTTGTCCGCAATAAAACTTAGTTGCACAAGATTCACAAGCTAATGATGCTTGTTTCACAGTCCATGTGCAGGAGGATATTATCCCAACTTGCCCAAGCATAAATACTAAGATTTTCTTTCTACACTGCCACCACCTTTTTTACGGAAATCTTTCAATCATTTGTTAGAGGTTCTTACAAATATCCTGAATTATTAGAAAAACAGAGCAATTCAGATGAGGGTTAGCCAAGTGTTCCAGACTAAGTGATTGTTCTTCTGGATGATGTAATGGTGATTTGCAGACAACTTTCAATCCTGAGCTCACACCCCACAACAATTAGTCTTACAAAGCTAACAAGCAATGACATAATGGCACAAAAAAATATTGGCCTAGCTTCCATGTGATTCCCCAGCACTGATAGGCTGAGGGACAGTTAATTTCTGAGGCCAACTCACTCCTCCTCCCAATGCCAAATGCACTCATTTTTCGTAGCCAACACTCCTGCCTCCAGATCATATTCCTATATCTGTTTTCTGTCCCAACCCTGGTAATCATCCACTTATTTCCTAGTCCATTAAATAGAGTGGGTGAATCTTTTTCGTTTTCACTGGAATTCGACAATTTTTGCATAAACTTTATTTTCTACTTTCCTCTAACATTCTTTTTGATATACAGTGACCATATTTTTTAAGAAAAAAATGTTTTTCCTCTTTTTACTCTGCCTAAAACAGTACCACTTTTCCCTTAGCCAATGTGAATGCCTCTAACTGACTTGAAGAAAGTTTGTATGAAAAAAAAGATGGAAAAATGCAAAGAATACAATCTTAACACATGTTCTTACTGTATAAGAAACCCCAGGCCTGGCGCAGTGGCTCACGCCTATAATCCCAGCACTTTGGGAGGCTGAGGGGGGCGGATCACAAAGTCAGGAGATCGAGACCATCCTGGCTAACACAGTGAAACCCTGTCTCTACTAAAAGTACAAAAAATTAGCCGGGTGTGGTGGCAGACGCCTGTAGTCCCAGCCACTGGGGAGGCTGAGGCAGGAGAATGGCGTGAACCCGGGAGGCGGAGCTTGCAGTGAGCCGAGATCGCCCCACTACTGCACTCCAGCCTGGGTGACAGAGCGAGACTCCGTCTCAAAAAAAAAAAAAAAAAAAAAAAAAAAAAGGGAAAGATTGGTTTTACGAGAAGGGTTGGAATAATTCAATGATGATTTGGAGATTTCAACACTTGGATGCTTTCTAAAAAACATACAGCAGTTTAAAAAAATAAAGAATGGAATATCCATTTCAGGAAAATTAATGATTAATTTGTCATTGTGGATGTTGATTTGTCAATAATCATAATATATCAAGATGGATACGTACGATAAAGTAGACGCTACAGCATAGTAAAAGGGTTGGATAGAAAGGAAGAGAAAGCCAAAGATAGAATCCTGGCACTGTCTACTTTTAAGACAGAGAAAGGAAGAGACCTGAGAAGACACAAATGAAAAATAAAAACAAAAAACAGTCACACTGAGAGAACTAGAAAAGAACGTTTTAAGAAAACAACATCTACATACCAAGAAAACACATTCCTCAAAGACAAGAAAGTGTAAACTATTACAGAAACTGAGCCCCAAGTGTTCAAGAACTGGGAGTAAAGCCCACTATTAGAGGGAAGTTGGTGTTCTTGTTGAGTTTGTTGGTTTGGCAACTGAGTATGAAAGGCAAGCCAAATGGGACTATAAAATGCAATAAGCAGGTAGAAATTACTCCATTATGTTCTTCGACATGGAGAGGAAGCAGACTAGTTTAACGGTTGCATGAGGAAGTAGAAGGTTTGAGAAAGTAGACGACATTTTAATGCATGGATGAACTAAGCATACATTCAGGAAATGAGCAAACAGCCAAGTAAGAGAGGAGATCTAAAGACCATGGAAGAAGTATAGATATTAACAAATTAAAATTCAAAGTAAATGAGCAAGGAGGATTCAACACATTAATAGGAGATATACTTTTAATAAGTAAAACTGGAAAGATATCGAGGAAAAGGGAAATGAAAACACTTCATACTGGACGACTTCAAGCTCTACAATGTAGGTTATGAGATACGTTGACTGTTTTAGTGAGGGTGAGGAATAATTGTAGAATATAAAAATTATGTGAAACACTCCTGGAACTGTAAACACTGAGGATCCTTGAAGGATTGATCCCATGTATATGCACTGAATCCAAAGTGCAGCTCAAAATCAACAACACAGAAACATGCTGTAGAGATATCCCAAGTTGGATATTGGTAAAGTTGGTTAAGGTTATAGTAAGTGTTCAAGCAATGCCATTATTGAAAAGGCTGGTCATAAGCAGAGGCATGTGATTCTGGAAAGCCTCTAAAAAGCTGAGTGAAGAGTGGCTGAATGAGACACAGAGAAATGTCATGGTAGCAAAAATCTGATTCAAGAGAATGGAAGAAGTGAACAATGTGAAAAGGAGAGTATTGATTAAGATGTAGAAATATGGATATAATCAAAGCTATTTTGCTGCACATTTATCTGGAAGTAGTAAGAGATTGACAAGGCACAAAATATTCATTCTAATTGGATGTCATTAAATAAACTGCAGAAGAAAAATGTGTGAGAGTTTTACCATTCAAGAAAACTTAGTTTTATTTAAAGCAGTTAAGAAGAGTTTTTTTCTTTTATTTTGAAAAGCAGAAGTACATTGGAGCTTACTTACATTTAAAAATAGGTTCAAAAAGATGGAATGAAAAGTAAGTAGAAGGCTGGCAAAGTGGGTAGTTGAGACAGAATGAAGAATGAAGAACAGGAAAAACAGAAGCAAGGGATTAGAAATAAATTGGATCAGACATGTTAGTAGAGGGGAAAATGCAAAATATGCAAAATGTGCAAAGTTCTATTATTAGAAGGGAATTTGTATCTAATCATTTCCAGTGTTTCATTTTGAATGCTGCTAAGATAAAATGAGACTGAAATTTTATTCATTTTCTTTGGTTTTTCATCAAGGGCACTTAAAGTTACACTCATATTAAATTTAGACACTTGTTAACAAACAGTATATGTAATTTTTGGAGTTTAGCCATAATGTTTTTATAAAAAATAGTTACTAGAGCCATGACCATTTTTGTAGATAAAATCCAATGGTGTAGAAACCCTAATTTCATGAAATGCTCTTATTGAATATGTAGAATTTTTAAAATAATTTTATTGAACTAAAATATTCAGTTATTGGAGGGTATTTTTAAAAAAATAGCAATGGACCAAGACAGTTTTTTATTAATGTAATCTTTCAATTATATTTTTAAAAGCATTTGCAGTACTCTGAGCGAGATGATATCAGAATCTAAGACAAAAATTTTGTCTCATAATTTTTTGAAGTTGTTTATCTTCTGAAGGCTTACAATTACATGTAGTTTCAAGATTTCTAAAATATGGTGTCATATATTTTCTTTTTATTAAACATGCAAAGGCTCCATTTTACAACTTAGTATATCTTCTTATGGTAAATAAATA
Source organism: Homo sapiens (assembly GCF_000001405.40). NCBI lineage: Eukaryota > Metazoa > Chordata > Mammalia > Primates > Hominidae > Homo > Homo sapiens. Next base: position 85,229,092 of record NC_000007.14, on the reverse strand, counting down.
CAATGAAAATAAGAAAAGCAGTTTTCAGAGACAAGGTGATAAACTGAGGTTTTATTTTACTTAGGACTGAAAGAAAAAAAATCATTGAAACAATGTCTAGAAGTTCTTTCACTTTATGGAAACTTACAGAGTATGCTGTGCTAGGTAAAGCATTTTATAAACTGGGCTACTTAATTGTCCTTTGGGATTACCAACATTGTTAAAAAACAGGCCACAAGACAGAGACATTAAACGGGTTTTATTTGTTGTTGTTTCTTTCTTATCCCAGAGCAATGAATTAAAAATGTGTTCATGATTTCTTCTCTCTATGTCTTTTTCATAATTCTCTTATGACTTTCATGAGCAATGAAATCACAAAATAGCAGTTTTAAGATGGCATAAAACAATAAGAAAAACAGATGAGATAAGATAAAGGATGAGAAAAATTATGGATTACCAACTCTTTTGTTAAAAAAAATACAGAAAATGTGTGTGATCAAGGAAGGAATACGATCAAGAGATTACACAAAGAAAGAACAGAATTTTGACTCTATGGCCTGGAGGGCAACAACATAGGTTATCTGATGAGATTTCCAGATCTGACATTGGAAGTAAATATTAGACCACTGTGTACCAGTAGATATTTGTGAAGTCTTACATATCTCTCTTCCTATCTCTGATTTGTTCTGTTTTTTAATAAACATACCATACCGCTTAGTGAATGATAAAATATTTTTTAAAAAATGAAAATGAAATTACCATTCGGAAAATTGGCATAGTGTAGAAAATATCTGAATGGTTGTGTTTCTTTCGCGATTTTTATCTGCACAGTTTGAAATTATTTAACCATGACTTTGTAGTGTGCAGAATACTTACTGGCTTTTCATGCAGATGTTTGACAAGAAAAACAAGAATAGAAAACCTCAAAATATCTGTCAGTATGACAAACACATAAAAAGTAAAAGATACACAAGTCACAGTTTTAAGAGAGATGTGTCATTTTTCATCATAAAATTTATAAAAAGTACAGTCTAACATTGTGCTTTTGGCCAATGTCATATACTTTGATAACAAATATTAGAAACTAAGATTTTCTTAGTCTCTATACCAAGTTGATCAATATAAAAATTAACAGAGGAAGCAAGAACAATTTATTATTTTCTAAATTACTTGAGTCATATAATTATTGCCAGTGTTAATCTTTGTTCCATTGTGATTCGCCATGGAAAATATGATTGACCACAAGGAGTGAGAGATTTTTATAATATTGTACGAACAATCTGGAAGAAATTGCACTATGATTAATAAGGTCCAACTTAGAAAATTTCTTCAAAATGAAATAGTACACAGAATTCTAACTTATGAAATTCATCATACATTTGTTTTCTACTAAAAGAATGTAATTTTTTCTGCAGACCTGATATTAAATATATTCATACATATATTACATATATTTTATATATTTGTCATGCATGTTTTCAAATTAGATGCCATGTATTTCAGTCTGTTTGTGCTGCTATAACAAAATACTATTAACTGGGTAGCTTATAAACAACTGAAATTTATTTTTTGTAGTTCTGGATGCTGAGAAATTCAAGATTAAGGTACTGGCATATTCAACATCTAGTGAGGGCCTGTTTCCTGGTTCATAGATGGTGGCTTCTGTCTGTGCCCTCACATGTTAGAAAAAGCAAAGCAGCTCTTTGGGGTGTCCTTTATACTGGCACTAATCCCAGTCATGAGCAATCTGCCCTCATGATCCAATAACCTCCCAATGTTCCCATCTCCTAACATGACATTGGTGGTTACCTTTCCACATAGAAATTTTGGGAGACCCAAACATTGAGACCATGGCATCATGTAGGTTTACAATGTTTCAAAGAATAATGATGTGAATATTTTTATTATGTTCTTACAGTTTAGCCCTAATCCTTATATTTCATAGAGAGTACATTGATAATATTTACAGAAATACTTTCCAGCAGAATAAATACTATTCAGCAAAAAATATAAATACAAAGGACAAAAAGAGTCAATTAACTCAATATCATTTTTCAAGAAAATAAACCGTGGAAAGGGATCTCAATTACTGCTTTTACAATTCAATCTTATTTTTATTTGAAAGCACATAAAGGTCATTGCGCTTAATGCACATACTTTAAAAGAAACCACAGGGCTTTTCATTTACCATCAGTTATCCACTGATGTATAGATAAATCTTTATAGTACCATAAATTTCCACAATATAAACTCAATAAAGAAGTACGTGGCATGCACTTTGAAGATATCTGCCTTGTAATCAGTAAAGTTTCTATTCCATAAAGCAGGCTGTGTTTAACCCTCACTTTAAACAATACTAATTATTTTTATGCAACTTTGACTTGTTGCAACAAAGACATTTCTTATATATGAAGACTAACAAAAAAAAAAATCCTCATCTTACTTTTCAGTGTTGAAACTGGAAAACTGCCTTTCTCTTGAATGTGACTATCCACCAAAACAAACTATGAGTTCACAATCCTGTTGTTACCACAAGTACCACAAAACCTGCAAATATGTTATCTAATGTGTTTCCACAACCACAAAAATCAAAGTAAAATTTGCTATCTTTCATAGTTTAATTCCATATTTAAGTGAAAAAGGGGGCTTACCAACCATACAATGAGTATGTCATTTAATAAGAATGCATATATGCTAGTTTTATAAAAAATATGGATACTGCATTATCTCTGGATTGAAGTTGAAAAAACATTGAAGTTATTAGTATTTTTACCTGCAGCATGAAGTTGCAATTTTATTTTGTCAAACCTCAAAAACAAGGATGAAAGGAGTATGTGTTAGATTCATTTGAAACTAAACTCATGAGCACACTAGCAAAAGAAAAAAAGAGTTTTTTTTTAACGAAGTGTCATATAAATTCAAGCTGGTAAAGACTATTTACAGTGGAGAGAGTGAATAAAACATGTGAAAGCCCTGGAATGTTAAACAGCCTTAATACTATAAGAAAATGTACTAATAATGTGTTTGTTTAAAAATATGGGAATTTGATGGGGAGGAGCTAAACAAGGATTTTGATAGCTTAATGATGGATTAGTGAAAGAGAAGTCATAAGTGTAATTTAGAAAATTAGTGCAATGTGGAGGCTTTATAATCCTATATACTAGATTTTTATATTATTGTATTTGTAAAGTATAGTATGTAAAACTTTCAAGGTAATATAATCTTTCCTAAGAAATGATGTTTGTAACATGAAATTGAAATGGGAAAGATTCCCTTGTCCCCCTGGCCGGATGCAATGGGGAGTGTGGCTCGCCTCCTCAGTACCCCACTGCTCATACCTCTAGGGGAGCATACAGGCAGGGACCTGTGGGGCTCTGACCCCACAGCAGTGTCTAGGGGTGAATGTTTACAGCTAAAGCCCCAGTGGGCGTGTGTTACAGGGTGCTCTTTTAGTTTAGCAGTCTGTAGGTGGCTCATCACAATTTTTCTGTCAATTAAGATAGGATATGTACCTAAATCAAAATTGCTGATAGTTATCTAGAAAATCTTTTAACCTTTCAATCTGGTTAAGTATGATTTCTTAATAGCCAGTTCAGCAAACTTTATACTGATGCCCCACACACCAGGCCACTCCAGCCACTCCACCTGGAAGACCTCCTCATTAAACATAGGCTTCTAACATCCCTCACCAGGCTGCATCTCCAAGTGAGTGTGTACCTTTCTTACTGTGCCCCATATCACCTAAAGGCTGGAGATCTGAATTGTTCATGAAGAGAGAGAGAGGAAGGAGAAGGGGAAAAGAAAACAGGAAAAGAGGAAAGATAAGAGGATCACAGATTAGAAGAACACAGCTTATTCTGATTTTCACTAGAAAATAGCACTAAAAGTATAATATATATATGTATAATATATATTACATATATGTATTATATATGTATTTTATATATATATTTATTATATATATGTATTTTATATATATATTTATTATATATATGTATATATGTATGTATATATATATATATATATATATATATATATATATATATATATATATATATATATAAAAGAAAATCAGGAGCAGTGATTCTCAAAAAGGAAACTCCACAGATTGTATGGTTTGAAAAGCATAGACAACATAATAATTTTGTATTTCGAAAATGAAACAAATGTATTGTTTTCATGATACAAACTGCTCAGAATGAAACTGGACAAAATCTTCTTGGATAAATATATGCATCTTGTGGTAAGGAAGAAAGAAAATGAGATTTTCATGCTTATCAGTATAAAGCAAGGCTTTAAAAATATTGCAATAGAGAATAGGCATCTCTGCTTTTAAAGGCTGCCTGTTTTGCCAACTTTATTTGACTATATGTTTATTAGTATTGTAGGGTGAAAGATAATTACAGGACCATTTCTAGTGAAAGTTAAGAAGATGACACTTAAATAACTCAAAACAAAAAGATGAGCCTAGATATGACAAGGTTGTTACATGATCTAGCTAATGCTGAACTAGTTGATAAAATATGCACATTCATCTAACACTGTTACTTTAGGCAGTTTCCTTTTCATTTTACACAACTTTTTTTGACCTCACTTTTTTTACCTACAAAGTAATAAATTCCATTAGGTGAATTCCAAAATTAATTTCAGCCATAACTTTCCTATTACATAGTTCCATTAACAAATGATGTGATGCAGTCTATGTTGCAAGTTGGACTACCATTTATCCAAGACGACGAATTGTGCTCTGGAATGCAGAATACAGCACTGGGAGTTGGCCTCAGGACTTCAAGATTTGCTGCAGGCATTCAGAAGAGTTATTTAAATTCTCTGGACTTCAGTTTTCTCACCTACAAATACAAACAAAGGTAAAATAATCTCTAAGTTTCCTTCAAGCTCTAATATTCGGCAATTTTATAAGTAGACCTGTGTGTGTGTTATGGGAATTACAAAAATAATCCCAGTGCTCTTCTAAGTAAATAATGTAGCTTTCTTTATAAAGTGTTATCAAGAAGTTACACAAATAAACTGTTGACCCTTAAATAATTTTTTTCATTTGAAAATTGATATATTTGTAGTATTGCCATGTGACAACATATAATAAAAATTGTTTCCAGTTTGTTTTTCCTGTGTCTGTCTGCCTTTGCCTGCCAGCTTTGGAATTGTAGTGTGTGGTTCTTTTCTTTGCATTATTTCTTAGAGACTTTTTTTTTTCAACAGCTTTTTTGGAATGGGGGTTACACGGATAAGTTCATTAGTGGTGATTTCTGAGATTTTGATGCACCCATCACCTGAGCAGTGCACACTGTACCCAATGTGTAGTCTTTTATCCTGCACCCCCCTCACCCCTCCCAGAGTCCCCAAAGTTCATTGTATTATTCTTATGCCTTTGCATCCTCATAGTTTAGTTCCCACTGATAAGTGAGGACATACAATGTTTGGTTTTCCAGTTATGAGTTATTGTATTTAGAATAACCATCTCCAAGTCCGTCCAACTTGCTGTTAATGCCATTATTTTGTCCTTTTTATGGCTGAGTAGTATTCCATGGTGTATACACACACACACACACACACAAATATATGATATATATATATATCATATTTTATTTATCTTCTCATTGATTGATCGGCTTTTGAGCTAGTTCCATATTTTTGCAATAGCAAATTGTCCTGGTATAAACATGCCTGTACAAGTCTGTTTTTCATGTAATGACTTATTTTCCTCTGGATAAATACCCAGTAGTGGGAGTGCTGGATTGAATGGTAGTTCTAATTTTATGAGGTTGGTGCAAAAGTAATTGTGGTATTGTCATTAAAATGGCCAAAACTGCAATTACATTCACACCAACCTAATAGTGCTTTAAGGAATCTCCATACTGTTTTCCACAGTGGTTGTGCTAGCTTACATTCCCACTGGCAGTGTAAAAGGGTTCCCTTTTCAGCACATTCACACCAACATCTATTTTTTTTTAATTGTGGCCATTCTTGCAGGAATAAGATGGTATTGCCTTATGGTTTTGATTTGCGTTTCTCTGACAATTAGTGATGTTGGGCTGTTGGGCATTTGTTCATGTTTGTTGGCCATTTGTATATCTTCTTTTGGGAATCATCTATTCATGTCCCCAGCCCACTTTTTGATGGGATTACTTGTTTTTTGCTTACCAATTCGTTTGTTTTCCTTGCAGATTCTGGATATTAGTCCTTTGTCCGATGCATGGTTTGCGAAAATTTTCTCCCACTCTGTGTGACACTTAAATAATTTTCAAGAGACCTTGATATTTTCATAAGTCCTTTCCTCATCTCCACTAAATAGCATGGTGGAGACAGCAGAAGTACAAATTCATAGTTATCTCCTAGGTCCTGGCTGAGGGTCGCATTCTTTGTTGATGATGAACTCCTAGTACAGTATAGTATCTCTGCTAAAGACTGAAGTGCAGGGCAATGCCTTCGTTTCTGTGAAGCAGACACAGAGGGTTGCTTATGCCTTGACCAGTTGAGGTTGGGGAGGTTAATATTTTCTTAAGTTAACTTTAAATAAATCAATTAATTCTGGCCATACTTTTAGAACAGTGAATATACTCCACACACAGAAAAATAAACTACCTGAATCCATCTTTAAAACAAAAACCATAGTGGGAAACAAAACAAACATGGAAAATAACAGACTATATACATATATTTACGTACATACACAAATATATGTAATATATGTATAGTGTTTTATAGTCTTTTATGCTTATATTCATTGCCATTGCATTGGAATGATTAGTTTTCTGCATATTACCAGACACCCAGCTTGGATTTTTTTTTCATGTTAATTTGAAATTTAAATGCAAAATTCCAATTTTACCTTTAGCTACTTTGAAAACAGCTTTATTTAAATAAAATATCAAATCACCTTCAAAAACATACGTACAAAGAAATGTTTAACTTCTCAGGGTTAGTAAATGGTAGCAAAATAAGTTTGCAAGAGATAAAGACTTTCAGATGTTTTGCTAATTTTTAGGGCATATATTCTAGAAGTAAAAATATGTATTAAGAAAATTGGTCTAGTAATGTACACATCTTGAGAATAGACAGCTAAATTTGATTGGGGATTTCTAAACCTCACTGCAGCCTTCAGCAATTTTATTATCTGCAATGATTATTATGTGTTTCTTGCCTTCCTAAAAGACTTGCTCAATAGCAAGTTAGGTTAATATACATATTAACCTATGTGTGATAAATTTGAGTGTCATAAAACAATCTAGATTGAAATTCTATAATTATACACTATGTTTTTTTAATCAAAGGAGAATTTGACATTTAAGTCAATGCTATTAATCCTTCACAGTTTTTGTTCTATTCATAGCATTGATTGTTAAGTTTATTTTAAGAGAGATTTTTCCTTTTCTTTCTCCTAAAGATACTCATAACATTATTTGACATTATACCTGAGACATCTTGTTTGTCTATTAAGTGTCTGTGTGTATGATTCATGTGAGTGACTATAATATAATCTATTACACACTTAGCTATCTGTTTTATATTTACTTGTGTTTTGAGAACACTAAACATAATAAACGCTATCACTGGTGACCACCAAATGAGAACATCTTGACAATCATCTCAGATACGATAACACAGGTTTCAGGAACACAGTGTTTGACACCAGAAAAGAATATATGGATTTGAACACTGGTCAGTATGTGAACTTTAGTATCTGATCTATTCTTTTACAGTTTGGTTTTCTCAGTGGTAAAGTGAGGATATATTGAAGTCTTAACCTTTAAAAAGATGCAGTTTCTACTTCAAACAATAGAGTGTTACCTAAATCTCTATTTCCCCTACTTTTGCATCTTGGTGTGCCTTTTAATCATATTCTTTACTGAGTTGCTTTTTACTTATATTTTCCTTATTCTCTCTCCCTTGTTTAGGCAAACACTGTCCAAAATAAAATTGCCTAGTTGAACAATGGATAGTTTACACATGGACTCTTCATTCCTTTCCTAGTGGTTCAATGGGATCTATGCTAGTTTTGTCTGTTTCTGTTCTGGGGTCATGACATTGGAGCACATGCCTGCTTGAAAAGATCTGAGGCCAAGGTCCTTTGGACTCCCTCATCACTGTTATACCTGACCCCAACCCTATAAAAAATAAAGTTCAGTTTACTGCTCTGAGTTATTCACTGCTCTGATCCACTTTTGTGTTGAACTCTTTGTCCTGCATTTTGTGCAACATGATTCTATGTAGTTGGGCCCAGGCCAGGCCCCTCTGACCTGAACCAACTGATTGTACCATCAGTTTAAGAGATAACTCTGTTTGGATCAAAGAAACAATGAGAGCTCCTTTCCTTCTCTGTCAACACTGTCTAGATAGCTGTCTTTTAAATAGCACTGTTTCTTTATCAGGCAAGAGTAATGTATTATTTTTAAATTTGTAGTCTTTTTCAGAGTTGATAAAGCCCATAACATATATATTATCTTTTAAAGACTGGTGTTACTACTTTCCTAACTTTACACACTAGAAAGCTAAATCCAGAGAAGTTTAATTAGCTGCCCAAAATTACACAGTAAGCAAGGTGCAGAACTGACATTATAATCTCAGACTTTTTTTAATCAGAGACCACTATCAGTTCTCCCGATAATCATATGACTGACCCATTCATAAGTTGTGAATTGAAATGGGAGAGGACAGAGTGCCAATAAACATTTTTTGTTTCCCCCTGGGGAAGAGGTTTGCCTAGAATTTTAACATAAATCGGTAAATAGAAATTTGTGTAGAGATAAAAAAAAAAAAAAAAAGGAACCTGAAACTCTGCCACCCATATGTATTTTTTATGGAAATTTTTCTAGGCTGGCTTGTTGACATAGCCCAAGAAACCAAACCAAAGTGTCAGTGACAGAATGAATTGTTTAGAGACACAGCGACAACACATGGTATCCAGATCTGACTCAGAACATCTAGGACAGAATACCAGTTGTATTTGAATATGATACCTTGAAGAATAAGGCAAACTAAAGTAAAATATTTTAAAGTACTGATTTTTTTATTATTACAGTTAGGAGCAAACAAACATTTGTGGAGGGGATTACTGACAATTTCCAAATTGACTGACAATTTGCTAATATCAGATAGCATATTTAAGCCTTGCTTATTTAACATTTCCTACCAACAAACTTGGAATAATATTAATGAAAACATTCTATGAGCCTGTTGTAGGTGACTTAAATAGGTTCTATATTTCCGTGTGAATAATCTATAACTCAAAACACTTCACACAATAACTTTTTATTGATTTTTCTTTCATAAAGTTTGAGATTGTTAAACCATATTGCTGGGAGTAAAATAACATACTTTGCGTGTATAATTTTAGAATTATGGAAAATCTTTCACCAGCACCACTGTCTCTTCAATGGCAAGCATATATTTTGATCATAACTGTATCCTTGAAAGACTCCTACAGGACCTAGAGTAGCTCTCCTGTGAGTGTGTGCCTGTATGTGGTTCCATCTGTTATGACTCTGTATCCTTCTGTTAGAAATCTTATTTTAAAATAGATGTTATAATCTAATTAATTTTACTATATATATTCCATTTATAAAGTAAGTTGAAATCACATATATTTACCATATGATAAAGAGTAACCATAGAATTGGTAATGTATTGCTAAAAAAAATGTCTTTCATTTTATATTAATGTACTAATAACATAAATCAGGTAAAAATTGTGTCTGATATACAAACATGAGTAAAATATAATTGGTGTTCACTTATAGCTGTAATACATTAAGGGCACTGGCAGTGAAGCCAACATAACCAATTCTGATATTTTAGTCATAGGTACCTCTTCTTTCCCCAAGGACTCCTGGTTTTATTTCTTTTTCTTTACTTTTTTTTCCCTCTGTGGGCTCTGGAGAACAATCTACATTCTCTTCCTCTGGCAGATGCCACCACAAACTCTTTCACCTAGGGTTCTTCACCCACAAGCCTGGGCATACAGAGGATGTGGAAATCTAAGCTGTACACCCATTGTTTGCTGCCATCCAAGAGGAGAACATGGGCCACTTTTTTATTTAAAAGTTCTACAACTAATCATGGTTAAGAAACAAAGGGGAGAGTTTTCAAAATAAGTGCGTAGCTCATTTCTAGAAGCTTGATCTTCTACTTCTTAGTTTTAATTGGGTATCAGAATAACTTGAGTGATACATTAAATATGCATATCCCTTAGCTAACTGAGGGCTTATTGAATCAGGATCTGTGACAGTTGGAACCTGGGAATACCCACATTTTAAACAAGCCTGCTGAGTGTTAAAAGTTGCTTTGAAATCTTGTAATATAGTTTCTAATTTTAGATGACAAATAAAATTCTAAGACATTGGTCTCCATAAAAGGTAGGCATCATTGGCTTGCTCATGATAGAAATACAATATTACAATTTGTATGTATTAATTTTTCTTTAAAGTAAATGGCCAATTAAATAAATTATCTGTTAAAGCTCAGACTGATGTGTATACTACTACATAATGCAAACACAAATAAAACAGACACAAAAAGAGCTGATTTACCTTCTTCAATTATAAACTCTTCAAACTGCACATTGTAATGTAAAGTCAATTATAATCTCATGAGATATAGTGAGAAATTATATAAAAATACCCAAAATTTTCAAGACCATTTGAAATATAGAGTCGCATCAAAGATAAATAATTGTACACTTTTAATAATAAAGTTAAAAAGGCAGTACATCAAAATATGGCTTAAAAATTATTTTTTATGTATTCCTATTGTATGAATGTTTTATAATGTGTACAATGTACTGGTACATGTCCATCACTTAAATAAATACATATATATTAAGAATACATTTTGATAGTTTTTATTCAAAGAAGTATACAGTTAGAAAGGTCTGTAGACCATATAGTTTCCTGCCTTTTTTATCCAATTAAAGGACATCTTTCTTCAGAAATGATATGTTTCTTATCTCAGAAACCCAATCAGTGCAGAATAATTGAATATCCTTTCATCTCAAATGAACAATTTATGCTTCTTTGAGACTCCTACACTCCTGGCATTACTCAGGCACTCGGCCATGACCAGGAGTAACTTTCACTTTTGTCGACAAATCTGTAAATAGCAAAATGATTATTTAACTAATAACAATTATTGAAGCATACAATGCTGTGAATGTTGCAATTGATAATTGAAAATGATGACACCAGAGAGTACTTGAGATTGTTAAACTATATTGATGTAAATGACAGTGATATAAATGATAACAACAATAATTTAATGACAGCTTTGTGACAGGCATTGCACTAAACATTTATCAAAGGCGATTATCTCCATGTATAAATGAGGAAAACACCTATATCAAAGAAACAAATTACTTGGTAGAGTCATAATGGGCTTCATAAAAAAGAACATTAGTATTGGCCTTTCATAAACAAATGGGTGTTTGCTGGCACTTATTGGCAAAGGGCATTCTTGAGCAAAGAAACATGACAACAAAAGGGCCCTTATCTACTGGTTCCTGGGAATTAGAACACTCTCTTATCCTCCAGTCCATTGGCTAAATCTTGCACTTTTTTATGATGCCAACTTTTCTTCACTTATCCTTCTTCATTGTCCCTTGAATTAAGTGTCCAGAATACATATCTTAGTTGCTTAATTATTTGTTTATACTCTCCCATCTCTGTTTTTGTTAAACTATAAGATCTGTGAGGACAAGGGCCCTATTTCTATCACTCACCTTTATCTTTTTTGAGGCCAGGAGTATTACTGAAGCATGTAGCCAGTGCCAAATAAATATTCGATGAATATGTGACTAATATATTAGTCTGGCTTGGAAACAGGCATATGCAGCTATCACTGAGGGCGATGCTAAACAGAACACAAATAAGCACAAGTTTGGCCTAAGGTTTGAAGGCCTCTATGTAATAAGCAGTCACAGCATTATAGCTAGAGAAGTGCAGATAAGTAGAAAATAATAAAGATGTTGTGTACAGAACTATAATGCTTTGTATTATGTCTTTATATATGATGTGCAATTATATGAAGCTATTAAACTTTCAACATTAAATAATCATGTGGCTCTATTTTGCATTAGGAATAATAAAATAGTTAACATTTATATAAAATGCTTTGTATTAGAAAACACACTAAAATCTTAAATAGATTATTTAATTTAATGACCACGGAGACTCAAGGGCAAATCCAAGTTTTTTGGAGCCTGAAGCTTATATAATTTGGGGGTGGGAGATCTTAAGAATTCAGTATTAAGAATATTAAATTAAGTACAAAACTAAATATTTATTTAGAATGAGAAAAAATTCAATAAATTACAATTACAGAAAACAACAAATTTCATAGACATTGTAAAACCCATAAAAATAACATATTTTATTAATTAACACTACTCCATTTTTTTCTTGCATTTTTATCTGTCCTACTTAGTTAACATTATTAGCACTGATAACACAAAAGCAATGGTGGGAAAAACTACCAGCACATTAGCACCAATGAAAACAGTGGTGTCAAATTCTAAGAGCAATCATTGTGTTCTTTGCCATCTTGCACTTAAAAAAAAAGCCAGTTTAATTTCAGAATTTCCTTGGTGAGACAGTAAAAAATATTAATTTTACTAAATTTCAACAATTGTATACATGCTTTTAAATATTGTGTGTAGTAAAGTGGGAAATTTGCCCAAAACAATTCTGCCACACAACAAACTACAATGATTTTTTCACACACACACACACACACACACACACACACAACACTCTTATTTGTGTTACAAGTTGAACTGGTCACTTGTTTTTTCATGTAAAATTATTTTTACTTGAAAGAACAACTGACAAAAAACCCCTATAATTTAGAGTTAAATATTTGGCTGAAACTTTCTCCAAAATGAATGAAGTAAACCTGTATCCTCAATAAAAATGTGTTGTCTTTGATAAAGTGAGCTTTCAGGCAAAAATTAGGACTTTGGAAAAATTACATCCACAGTGTGAGCTTCACAGTAATTTTAAGACATCTCTGATGAAATCAATGATAATATTAATGAATGTGATAGTTTGCCATTATATAATAAACTATGTTAACATTTGGAAGGTCTGCATAACTCAAAGAACCAATATTTTCCAGATGAAAAGTTTTATATTATGAAAAAGAACCTTAAAAGTGCAAAATAGGCCAATTGTTTTAAATTTCTCATTACAACTAGCTTTTATGAAATTATTATTTTTCAGGTTTGAGTGTAATCTTGAAGAAAATTATCTATAATTATCTGAAAAGGCTATGAAAGTAATTTGCAAAAATGTAAAATGGTTCTACTCTTCTCCCGAAATGTCTTGTTTGTTGGGAAAATATATGTTTTTCATAAAAAGTGTAATATATATTTACATGTAGTAAGTTTACTATTGTTATTTTCAAATGAATTAATAAATGTATATTTAATTTTTTCCATTTTAATTTCTGTTATAGTAGTTATAATCCGCAGAAACAAAAACTTAGGGCCTTTAATGAATTTTTTGAGTATAAAAGTATCCTGAGATTAACAGTTTGAGAACTATTACTCAAAGAAGAAGGTGAGGGAGAAAAAAGATTGCAGTTCTCCGTCTCTTGCTCTGATCCCAGATCTTGTTTTGGGGAGGGCATAGAACAAAGTAGTTTAATACAAATGACTTGAAATCAGATTGAATAAATTGGCCGAGAATTCAAGCTGCTCCAGATAACTAGCTCTGTCATACTAAGAGACAATCTCTTGATGCTTCCAAGTCTTAGTTTCATTATTTCTAATATGAGAACAACAATAACACCTACTTCATAGGGTCTTTCCAGAGGTGAATGCAACATGAAACTAATGAAATTTACTTTTCAAGCCCTGTGATTTGCACAGACAACTTCTAAAGCCCTAGTTAATGAGTGCAGGGCAATTGAGATTAGTCAGTCTTCACAGTCCAAGAAAATCTGAAATGTCCAGAAACCTTAAAGCTTTTATGAAAAAAAAAAAAAAAGAAAGAAAGAAAGAAGAAGAACACTTGGTAGAATTTACTGCAAATTTGACAACAATCCTAAATTTTATAATACAAGCTAAAGGGACCTCTCCTAAACTATCAGTGATAAAATATAAATATTAAATAACCTTGATAGGGAAACAATATTTTTCCTACTCTTTCTATAGGAAAAATATTGCAAAATCATTGCCATATGAAGAGGCCAAAAAGAACCCAAGTGAAATGTACATACGTACATAGTTTGATCAGTCCTTAGAATGCTTGATATTGGGTTTATATGTAGAAATAACCATTGAAATCATCATTATAAGAGCCAAAAACAGGCCGGGCACGGTGGCTCACGCCTGTAATCCCAGCACTTTGGGAGGCCGAGGAAGGTGGATCACCTGAGGTTGGGAGTTCGAGACTAGCCTGACCAACATGGTGAAACCCCAACTCTACTAAAAATACAAAATTAGCCTGGTGTGGTGTCACGTGCCTATAATCCCAGCTACTCGGGAGGCTGAGGCAGTAAAATTGCTTGAACCCGGGAGGTAGAGGTTGCAGGAAGCCGAGATCACACCATTGCACTCCAGCCTGGGCAACAAGAGGGAAACTCTGTCTCAAAAAAATTAATTAATTAATTAAAATAATTTAATAAAGAGATACACATCTCATTCCCTCCTTCCAGCTAAAATTACATATCTTTCTCTCTGGGTGTCGTATGTTTCTTCTCTATCTTCTACCCTAATTTAAATGGTATAGAGATGTCACTCTAGGTACAATTAGTAATATAGTGCAAACACTTTATTACAATATGTGTACAACTAAAGCATATTTTCCAATGATGACTAGTGTTAGTACCAAAGAAAAGTCCTTGGTGCTATTGATCCACAATGTTGAATTAGTTATTTCACTCTAAAGAGTGGATCCCAGTTGTTAGAGAAGGGAAGTGTCAACTAACCAAAACAATATGTGTATTTTATTACTCTTCCCATTTGATGTTTGACAGAATAAAATGGTACCTACCCAAACCACAATATCAGGTTATGGATCCAAGTGGATTTTGTTTATTTGAATCAATATATAGGATTGTGCACGTTTATGGGTTTATATTACCATAACCACAGATGGTAGCCACACTGAATGTATGACATTTTTACATAGATGCACATGTTTTCAATGATGCTAAACTTAATAATTTATGTACTTTTTTATATAGCCCATGAGACTGAAAGGCAGCCAAAGAGAGCCACATCTAGAAATGTTGCTGATGTAAACTAAATTAAATTTAGCATAATAATGCACAAACAAAATGAAAATTAAAAATAAAACACACTTATCAAATGCAGTTTTAGTACTAATCAAATACCGTGGGTCACAGAGGTGAAAGACCTCATGCACTTACACTAAGTGATTAAAGAGATAGCAGTTTCTGTTTAATGCCCTAGGAAACTGTCCCCTCTTGTCCCCTTAAAGGATCACACAGAACTGAAGAGAATTCCCTTTATCCATCTGTGAAGAAATACAGACACTGGCAGATGCATGACAACCATCAACACACTGAATAATTAGAAAATCATTCCCTGGAGATACAGAATTTAAGAGATAAGTGTGTAAAAACAAGTAAGTAATCAATCAATAACAATAAAGGCCTTACTTAAAACTTATTGGAAAGTAGTTTTTTTCTTGCAATTAATATTTAGCTCATCTGATAACATATAAATGATGTGAAGAATACCATTTTGGATTTTAAAAGACTATACTTTTTAATACATTTCAACTATTAAAGCTTAGTATCGTTTTAGGTACTTTTAGCATTTGTAGAAACTATTCAAAAATCTAGTAAAGTCTTTTAAATTATACTATTGCAAATAGAGACAATTTTTAATTCTGTGTGTGTGCTTATCAATTAAGCACACTATCTCTATTTGTTAGCTGCTGATAAAATAGGTAGTGAGAAAGGCAATGACCATAAGCAGTGTGTTCAACATATAATGATTGTGATTGATGAAAATCAGCACTATACATTGCTTAACACCTGGGAAAACTAATCGTCCAATAGTACTAGCAGTAACAATTCCTAAATGTATTCTAATATACTTTTTATAAACTGATAATTTATAAATTCTAGAATAAACCTGAATGAATAGAAAATTGTTCTTTTAATATTTGACAAAATAAGCTTTCTTCTGGGCAATATTTTAGCTAAGTGTACCATTCAATCTAATGCACTGTACAAGTCATTATTGCATGAAGTTTCGTTTAGCAGATATTTTGCCTGAAATGTAATCATTTGGCATAAAACTGCTATAAATTGAGTGGAAATAAAATACCTAAAAATAAAGAGTAAATAGTTCATTATTTGAAGACACTAATATAAATCTATAAATTAGATTTTAAAAGAAAATCTTGCTACCAGAGCTGAAGTTTTAATATCAAAAATTTATCTGTAGTAAATCATTAAACAAAGCTTAATTTATTTCAGCATTATAAAATTTTAATATTAAAAAGAAGCATTTTTCTCACATCTAATGATACAAACACGCAACACACACACAGGTGCATGCACATGCATTTACAGACTTGTTTTTTAATCTGAGTCGATATCAAAGTTGATAAGTGGAAGAAACCACATAGGCACTATATTTCTCTGAAGAAGAACTGATCAGCCCTGCAATTTGTTTCAGGAAAAATACAAGTTTAACAGGTACACATTGCTATTCTAAGGCTGAAGGGTTTTCCATTGATGGGGTTCAAGACAAGTTACTCTAAAATATGGCATGTCCGCATTTGAGAAAGCATCAGAAGCAGGTAACAAAATCTAGGAAAGTCACTTTGAATTTTTCCTGCCCTTCTCCCCTGAAATAAATCATAAGACCCTCGTTTGAGAGGTGCCCTCCCTATACTGGAAGGAAAGGAACATTTTCTGAACAGAGAAACACAGAAGAATCTGAACAAACAGGCCTTGCTAAATTCCCCTATACCATTTGTACTATTAGATCATACTTCATTTGTCCAAGCATGCTTCTCCATGACTATCCAAGTATTTATTAAGCCTAAGTAAAAAAATAGTTTACCATTGAACAAGTAGGAGATTAGTGATGGCATCAGGCATGGTCAAAAATTCACTGATAACTTTTGACTCTCCAAAAACTTAATCACTACAGCCTATTGTTGACCATAAGTCTTACAGATAACATAAACAATTGATTAACACATATATTTTTGTGTGTTTTATGTATTATATACTATATTCCTATAATAAAATAAGCTAGAGAAAAGATAATGTTATTTTTAAAATTATAAGGAAGATAAAATATAGTTATTCATTTACTGGAAGTAGATCATCACAACGATCTTCATTCTCATCTTCATGATGAGTAGGCTGAGGAGGAGGAAGATGAGGGGTTGGTGTTGCTGTCTTAGGGGAAACAGAGGCAGAAGAGCACACGCACACAGTTCAAACTTGTGTTGTTCAAGCATCAACAGTACACAGTTTTCTTGTCTATTTAGGCTTTTATTTCTGAAGCCTTTCATGCATTTGTAATTTATATTAAATACATTTGTATGTCTTTCTATTGTTAGTTTGCATTTTGCTATAGATGCCCCAAACCTAGCAATGAGTGAAGAAAGAATTTCAACAGCAAACATAATTCTGTTCTGTTGAACTGCTCTTATGTTCATAATTCAAGTATCAATATAAAAGAAAATATTCAGGCTTTCTATCTTCACCTAACAGTGTGGGCTGCCTGAGTCCTCTCTAAAATACATATCAACAAAAGGAAAGAGAGAGGGAAAACTGGGAACTCAATGTGGAAAATGTCCTCACAGAGACTAGCAAGTAGTAGAGGAAAATTGAAGAACAGAAACAGAATTAACAAATGTTTAGAATTGGGTCTCATCTTTCTTTATATTTACATCTACTTTTGGGAACCCGTTTACCTTATTAAATTAATTTTTCAGAAATTGTTGTTTGCATTTAAGCCCATTCATCCTCTTTGGTTAAAGAGGATTGATAATTGCTCCGTATAAGACACTAAATTGGAACTGTAGAGAATCAGGGAATCCTTTTACATTTATTTTGTAGTTAATTTGACAGTAGATCTGTCTCCCCAACTTAATCATAAAGTGAAAGATGATTTTTATTTACCATTTTCTCTCCAGCATCTACAATATTGTCTGTCTCTTAGTAGACTTTCAAAGTATATTTGATACATTAATACATGAATAAAAACAGAGGAGGTTATAGTAGAATACTTTAGCCTAATCCTACTAAAGACCATAGTAAGTAATAAGTCAAATAGCCTGAATATTGTATATTACTTACATCTAATGGTGTTGAGGATCACACAAATTAGACAATAATAATTGGGATAGCCTAACATAGCAACTTTGAATTTATTGCCTTCTGTTACTCTACAATAGATAAACCAGTTTCCATTTCTGAATATGGTATCTTCAATCTTTAATTCTAGTGAATGCTTTATCATCTTTAATCCTGCTGAATGTTTGTATATCTATTGTAGATGTCTTAAGTAACTTTTTAAATGTTTCTAATGTAGGACAAAGTATAGACTTTGATATAATTTTATTCATTTCAGACCTATGCTTTGACTCTAGTTACATAGAATCCTTCATCATTGTTCCTTTCCTATGTGAAATCTCCTAATAATCCTAAAATGTTTATGCACATATGGATAATTTCCAATTAACTATGGAATGTCAAATAATGATTTAAGGAATTCCCTAAAAGCATAAATTAAATTAAAAGAAGAAAATGTATCTTATGTAGTCATCAAAATTTAACAATAACCTTTCACTTTAAAAATTATTTGTGTTATGACTACATAATGATTAACCATGTTTTAATAGGAAAAACAAAGGAAAGAATAACTAATAGGTTATCTTCCCTAATGTAGAGACCCAGGTTTTGTGACCAAAGGAAGATTTGCAATGGTTTTACTTAATTAGCATCTGCTGAGAGAGGCTGTGGTCTATAATAGAATCTTCAAAACATGGGTGTTGTTTAGAGCCTCCCATTAGTTAATGGTGTGACCTTGGTCAAACAGATCTGACCCTTAGTTTATTCATCAGTAAATGAGGAGGTTGGATCAATACATTCCAAACCTAGAGTTCCACTGTTTTCTGTGGTAGTCCCAGGAGTTATCACTCCACTACTGGTGTTCTTGGAAATTTTTGAAGGCATTATAAATAGTTTTCAAGGTTTAATAATAACCAAGACAAAGACTGACAACTGCAGTGAAGACTAGATTTTGTCATCGTTTTAAAAAAATGTGTTTTAATTGACCTTGTGGGAATTAAATATGTGCACACATGTTGCACATAAAGTGTTTCAAGCTTAAGAGCTGAACAACTATTTCATTATTTATTGTTGAAAATGTCTTAATGTATTGCACTGGACAGCTTGAGTTTTCTAGTTTCTACAGGTTGATAGTTTGGTATAAAAACTGTATTTGGGAAGAAAGAAGTGAATCACTACAAAATGTCAAAGCAAACAGAGGAATCAGAGGATAAGAAAGGAAGTAATCAATAAAGAATAATAATTCTTTTTGCTCTTCAAAGCTTTTAAGTAATCGATTAGTGAGAAACAGAGCATCTAATCAGTGGTGATGCATTATGATGGTTCAGTCTGTCCCCACTGTCCTTCTTCCTCCCCATCATCCCTTCAGAGGCCTTTTCCTGATTCCCAATTGCCTAATTAGTATTTACCCAGTGGACCAGATTGTGTATGTAAACTATAATGACAATAATTTGCACAAAGTTTTAGTTCTATAGCACCGGTTGTACGTGTGTGTATACATATACATATATACACACATATACATATATATACACACACGTATATATATATTCACATACATATGTATATATATTTGAAAATTCTACACTATATGCACTACAAAAAGAAATGGTAGTTTACCATTTATACCAGACTTGGTTTTACCATAAATCATATCAGTAGTTAAATTTTGAGTTCATTCTGTCAAATTTCATACTATATACTATGCTATATGCTATAAACTGATTTTAATTAACATATTTTGTCATTTCTACTTATTAACTTGGAAAGCTGGTCATACGCAGTGTTGTAGCTTTAATCTCTGGTTAAATAAGGCTAACGAGGCATAAAAGTGTCCTTAGCTACACTTGACTGGGATGGACACAGGCCTTATACTTATCTTCCTTCAGTGGTCCTGATCCTTTCAAATCTAAAACTAAGTTACCCTCTTTCAATGAACATATCTAGATTATTTGTAGTATTGCGTGTATTTTCTTTTCTATATAAAGCTATATATAAATAAACAAACATAAATGTGTGTGAGAGAAGGATACAGCTCATACCTGCCTTAACTTACCTACTGTCTTTGCCACCCCACCTTTCTCACATTTCCAGTGGCAGTGCAGGGAGAGATCCGATGGAGCAGGTGAGTGCAGAGAAGCTTATCATTTCCTCAAAGTTACTAGTGCTGCTTCTCCAGGCTCAAATTCCCAATGTCTGGATTTTGTACAAAGGATCTGCTGAATTTATATTTTGACAAATACCAAATAAGCAGGTAGCAAAATCAAAATTTGACCAAACGTGAAACCAAATCCAAATTTCACAAGCATAGAATGAATTTCTAGAAAACAAGAAAAAAATTAAAGTATTTAAAATTAATTATTTTGCTAAAAATCAAATGGTTAATTTTGTTTCAAATTTGGCATTATGGTGCACTAATTTCTGAACACTAGAGCTTCTTTATTCCTGCAGTTATTGTATTGTAAATTTACAATATCTTATGGATGATGAAATATTATATCTGTTTGTTGCTGTCAATCTCAGGCATTCAGAGACGTTTAAATTTTATTTATTATACAATGGTTAAATAAGGTAAGCAATGTCTCAATTTGTTTTGACATTATATATCAAAATATTTTAAATGTTTAAGCAATATTTTACACTTAGGGTAGTTACTTGATAAATGCAATTATGTAAATTAATATGTATATGATATGTTGTAATTAATGGCTGCTGAACTTTCTTTTGTTAATTACCACATTCAAGTTTTAAAATTGAATGTGAGTAAATTGGGAGTGATTTAGCATATTATTTAAACAAATGAAATTAAAATTTTGAAAGACATGTTCAATATCATCTGAAGTCAGTAAAAGCAACAAGATATTTTCGTCTAACTGACAGCGTGCATTACAGATAGTAAGGCTGTGACTAATGTATTAAATGATTTTTTTCCTATAATAAATGACCAAGATAAAGACCTATCTCCATGTAAGCTCTATAACTTGAAGAGTGGCAAGGATGAATTTCATTGAAGCAATCCACAGATTAATTTTTTAATGATTAAAGAAAATCTTTGTGAATATTTTCATGAAGGTAACATGATTGCTCTAATTTATATGTTTGTTTATATTTACAAATACCTGCTGCTTCACAAAATCACGATGGAAAAAATTCTCAATCCGTCAATCTAGATATATGGCAACAGAGCAATGTAATTGACATTTAAAATTTTTTAAAATTCTGAATTTTCACCCAGGTCTTAACTTTCCTTTAATACACCTTTTGTTCCACACATTTCCTGAAATGGAAAGATTAGCAGGGCCTTCACAGTAAATATCATGGGAAACATTTGCACTTTGAAAAAATATCATTTTAATTTCTTCTACAGCTGGTTTTTGGCAAACTGTTTTCTCTGCAATCAACCATTGGATGTTATTAAGTATTTATTATCTAAAAACACAGTATTTAGATATTTATTGAAACCTCCTTGTCAATGTATGAAAATTGGTATTCTACCCCATTGAAACATCTTGCATAAACAGACGAGAAGGCAGTTATAAAGCCTGTCCTCTTTTACGGTGTTTGGCTGAAGGAGATGAAAACACCCCGATATCTTTCTACTTATGACCAGTAATTCTGTCACATGTCACATTAACCACTTTCTAAATATACAAATAAAGGATGTAAAAAAATCTTATAAGCTTTTAATTTATAAATGAATCATAGCTTTCACTATTTGTTCTCTTGTCTAGGACAAGTTGATAAGTATGTAACAATTACTGATTTTCCATGCCATAAATCTCTTTAAATAGACTCTATGGTGTTAGTTTTCTGAGATCAAATCCTTATCAAATTCCTTATTAAATCTGTTAATGAGGAATTAAAGCAGAAGCAGAATGTATTGGATATGATGAAAATGTATTAATTATAGGATTATTGATTATGCAAAAGTTCAGAAACAATAACAATCATGTGGATATATGTATTTGAAAAACAGCATGTTTTCATCAAACAATGAGCCTGAAGACACACTTTAATGACTGTGCAACATACCCATTCTTTTCCTCCTCCTCTCCAGGCCCATGTCAAGATGCACCCACATTTTGGTGGAGAAAAGTGATCTAGATAATCATCTGGCCATCTTCTCCAAATTGAGCATTTTAAGCATTTGAGTATTTTTCTTTAATCTTTAGATCTCCAAGACAGTCCATTAATACCTAAGAACATGTAACTGGTTGAAATTTTAAAAGTTCTTCATGTGCTTCTCACTTGCCAAATGCCTTGGCTGTCTCTTGGTCTGTCAGCAGTGTCTGTTTCCTAGAGCCCTGGAGTGTTTTCGAAATAATTTCTAGGAAAAGAACTACAATAGGCATATGATGTTCAACAATAAGATTTTACAGCAAGCAGTAGTACTGTGATTCAGGATTGTCCTGAAAGAAAATTGTCTATTTCCCCCCTTCATCCTTTAATATGTTCAGAGTCAAGCTTGGCCTGCTGGGCCAAAGAATTTTATGTATGGTAAGTTCACATATTTGGAAATAGTAAAAAGAAGAAAAATATTTGTAATTTCCAGTTCATGGAGAATAGAAGGGAGAAGGAATGAAAGCAGAGTCATGATGTTGTCAAATGTATCCCAATTTAAACCTGATGAGGAGAAAGTTTATTACATAAGTTAGGGTGGAAGAAGGCTATGCCCCTAACCATGCACCAACCTGGCACATTCACATCAACTCAGTGATCTCTGTAAGGGAGGTCCTGATACGTCATTTTCCTCAGAAACATTAGTTTTCACGGAACTCAGCTAAAGAGACCTAGCTACCAGTTTGGAGAGACTGCCAGGGAGGTCAGAATGTCACAGCAGGAAACTGTTTTGATACATGCAGAGGAAACTGCCTGACCTGTGACTATATGGGCATAGCAGGCAGATCTCAGACAGTTTCATAGAAACAGTGAGGGCTGAGACAAGCCTGAGACAGTTTTGAAACACTGCTGGGCCTTATGAAATCAAAATATCACTAGTTCCAATTACAGACTTTAATGAAGAAGCTAACAGGGCAAGCAGCACCTACATGGATAATGCATATTGTTCTGGAGGACAGAAGAAGCTGAAGACATCACACTCCAGGGCTTTGGTACTTAACTGCTGCTGTGAGGCTACATAAGCACTAGGTCATGATTTAGGGGAAAGAGGCAAAAGAAGGACAAATTGTCCCAGGGTTTGATTTTTTTTAATCCAAGAGACTGAACACTTCTTAAAGGAATATTTTAAATTATTGATTCTAACTAAGGGATGTCAAGGGAAAGGAACACAGAAAATGGTGGGGTCAAGAAGAAGGAAAAATAGAAAGTAAAAAGGGAAACAGAAAAAAATTAAAGGACACTTTTTAAATTGACAAATAATAATTCTACAAGTGTTATGTGGTAGAATGATGTTTGATATTTGTATAATGATTAAATTAAGCTAATTAGCGTATCCATCACCTCATCTACTTACCATTATTTTGTGGTGAGAACATTTAAAATCTACTTTTTAAACAATTTTGAAATAGACAAATGTATTCTTATTAACTACGGTCACCAAGCTGTTAATAAAGTGAAGAAACAACACATGGAGTGGGAGGTAATATCTGTAAACCATATTTCTAATGGACTAATTAGTGTATACAAGGAACTCAAACACGTCAATAATGAGAAAGCAAATAGTTCAAGTAAAAAATGGAGAAATAATCTAAATAGACATTTCTCAAAAGAAGACATATGAATGACTAGCATATTTGTGAAAAAAATGCTTAAAATATCTAATCATTAGGGAAATGCAAATCAAAACCACATTGAGATAGCATCTCACGTATATTAGAATGACTTTTACCAAAAAGAAAACTTATATGCTTTAATTTTTTCTCTAGCTCCTGATGTTACTATTTATTAGGATATTTGAAATATATCTGAGTTTATTTCAAGATATAGAGAGTTCTAAGGAAAACTGTAATGGTGTGTTGGAGTTCTTACTATATTTGGAAAGAATGGAAGTCAGAGTGATAATAGGAAAAATAGGATGCAAGAAGGCTGGTTCCTAAGGCTAGAGGAAGAAAATGAGTCAGACTGGGAAACACTGGTTCCAAAGATCTCTGTACTTCTAAAAGCCTCTATTCAGTACCCTCAGCTCCCTTTTAGCTTGACCACTGTGCAAGAAGACTCTCCTTGTTGATGAACATAGTAATCAACAATATGGAAGGGAGTAAGTTCCCGTACCTATCATGAGCCCGTTTCTCATCATCCTACACTGAAAATTAAGATGGTTCCTCACTAAAATTGTTATTACTTAGTACTTAAGTTTAAGCTGATTTACACTGGGTTGGGCCTGGAGGACTAACTGCCAGTTAAAAGCTGATTCTACGAAATATTATTGTTTAAGTCTATCTAAATCAATAAATGACATTGGAAGGCTATTTTTAAGTGGCAACAGTCTGGTGCTTTTTTTTTTTTTTAACTGTATTAGATCAATAGCTGCAGTTTAAAAGGTCTATTCATTCAAGTTCTTTGGTGTAATGCTCCTTTGATTTCAAATGCCTTTTGCAAGTTGGAAAAGTCCTGCTCTCATATGACTAAGGCAGAAAAGGTCAATTAAGTAATAGTCTATTCTGGTCGAGCAAGAGTCTCTTCCTTTCCAGTGTTACACTATATATTCATTTTTAAGAGCTCAAAGCTTTTTAAAAGTGTTTTTTTTTCTTATAAATTAGTAATATAAAAAGTAGTTATTTTAAAATCTGCTTTCACATTTTAATCTAGAATATATAGGACATGTAATTTTTAAATATTTCTCATACTTGAATCTTCCCCTCATTCCATGGGTCATTGCTTGTGTTCAGATCTTTGTTACCTTGGAATATGGAATAATCTCTAAGAAGCATTTTTTTATTCCAATATCTCCCACTTCTAACATATGGTATTGGCAGATTAGCCTTCTGAAAGAGAAAAGCATTGATATTACTACTAGGTTCAAAGTTTTTGTTTTTGTTTTTGTTTTCCCCCTGTATTTCTCTAGCTCAATCTGTAAAGTCCTTGCTTCTTTGTCAGGCATCCACAACCTTCCATAACATCTTCCACATCTACTTTTACAAACTTGTTTCCTACTGTTCACTTTGATAGATCCTCATTCCAGAAAAATTGCAAATTTTCAGATTCCCTTTAACACTGCTGACATTCTCACATCAGGAGTTGCTTCACATGAAATATTTTTCAGGAAATAGCCTCGCCTTGCAACCTCTTCTACCCACACAGTTTCCAGGTGCTTATATTTTGTTCATCCTGCAAGATCTTGCTCAAAAGCCCTGTTAACAATATTCTATTCATATAGTTAAGCCTGTACTCTATTCTGCACAATGTTCGGTTGCATGTTTTTCTTCTGAACTCCAATAAAACTTTATCTTTAGTCTCTTTTAAAATATTATTTTTGTATTCAAAAGAAATGGAAAAACTTCAATTCTAGTTAAATCTAACACTGCCTCTAATCAGTCTATAAACACATGCAGCTAAGCATATAACATGTTGTAAGAATATATTTACATTTTTACAATAAATTAAGACAGAAACACACAAGATGCTAACTTGCTGACTACCACACCCACACTCTTCTGGATATCTATCGCATATTTCTGCTCTCTGCTCATTACATCCTCTCCAATCTTCAGCTACTGAGCTTAATCCCATATTTTTGAGAAAAGAGAGACAATATGAGGAGAACTGCTGAAATCTCATGACAAATCATCTACTTCCAACCTGCTTTGCAGGCACGTAATTCTGTCCTACCTCATTTTACCACAGATGAACTGTCTTTCCTGTTACTATGAAAACGTTTCAATTTGGTATTAGACCTCACCCTCTCTTACCTATGCAAGAATATCATCCAGAAGTTATTTCCCAGTTCTTTAGAATCATATAGTATCTTTTGTTCTACTATATAGTTTTCATCAGTAAAAAACAACTTAGTGCAATTGTGTTTAAAAAAAAAGAGATTGCCATTCTAATTGGTGTGAGATGGTATCTCACTGTGGTTTTGGTTTGCATTTCTCTGATGGCCAGTGATGTTGAGCATTTTTTCATGTGTTTTTTGGCTGCATAAATGTCTTCTTTTGAGAAGTGTCTGTTCATGTCTTTCGCCCACTTTTTGATGGGGTTGTTTGCTTTTTTCTTGTAAACTTGTTTGAGTTCATTGTAGATTCTGGATATCAGCCCTTTGTCAGATGAGTAGGTTGCGAAAATTTTCTCCCATTTTGTAGGTTGCCTGTTCACTCTGATGGTAGTTTCTTTTGCGGTGCAGAAGCTCTTTAGTTTATTCACGATAGCAAAGACTTGGAACCAACCCAAATGTCCAACAATGATAGACTGGATTAAGAAAATGTGGCACATATACACCATGGAATACTATGCAGCCATAAAAAATGATGAGTTCATTTCCTTTGTAGGGACATGGATGAAATTGGAAATCATCATTCTCAGTAAGCTATCGCAGGAACAAAAAACCAAACACCTCATATTCTCACTCATAGGTGGGAATTGAACAATGAGATCACATGGACACAGGAAAGGGAACATCACATTCTGCGGACTGTTGTGGGGTGGGGGGAGGGGGGAGGGATAGCACTGGGAGATATACCTAATGCTAGATGACGAGTTAGTGGGTGCAGCACACCAGCATGGCACATGTATATGTATGTAACTAACCTGCACAATGTGCACATGTACCCTAAAACTTAAAGTATAATAATAAAAAATAATAATAATAAATAAATAAATAAAAAGAGAGAGAGAGACAGAGACTAGTGTGATAGCTCATGCCTGTAATCCTAGCATATTGAGATGATGAGGTGAGAGGGTCACTTGAGCCTAGGCATTCTAGACCAGTCTGGGCAACACAGTGAGACCCCTTCTCTACAAAAAATATTAGCTATTCCTGGTGGCACAAACCTGTAGTCCCAGCTACTCAGGAAGCTAAGGCAGGAGGATGGTTGAGTCCTGGAGATCAAGGCTGCAGTGAGCCCTGATTGCATCACCGCTCTCCAGCTCCAGCCTGGGAGACAGAGAGAGAGAGACCCTCTCTGAAAAAATAAATAGATAAATAAATAATGGAAATGAAAAAGGAAATCCTACTCAGTTCTGGGTTTCCATAGAATAGTGGCAATTGAAAGCTTTCCTCACAGCCTCTAAAAACTCCCAAAGAACAAGAGGGAGCACACACAAAACCACTCTTAACTGAGATCTAGAGCTTAACTAGTAGATATAAATTACTAAAATCTCTAATTTACATATAAATAATAAAATAAACATCCCAAAATGAGTAGGGTCAGATCTGGAACCCAAGCTGAGGTTAAGATTAAAAAGGAGATTGAGTAGAAAGGAGATGGTGGTGAAGCCTAGCAATAGCAGGAAACGTTAAATGACTCAAGAGAAAGAGTTCCACACTTAGTGGAAGTTACTGAGAAGAGTCACAGCATGGACTACTGGGGAATTGTAATGAAGGGGCTTAAAAGTGTAGGCGATCAAAGCTAGTAGTTTTCAGAAAGCACAGCTTCTAGGGAGGAGGCATTCCTTGGAAATTGGGGCTGGCAAAAGAGAAGAGAGCAAATGGTGGAAACCAAGCATCCTATGAAAACAAAAGAGAACTGCAAAATCAGAAGACCCATTAATCGTTTTCCTCCCCTGAAATGAAGACAGACATTTATGAATAAAACTGTCTTTTGGTATATCAAAAGAAGAGGATACTGTGGAACAAAGAAACTTGAGAATCCACATACCCAAACTTCTCTTACAAAATTACCTATTATTGCTGGTCTAGGCAAATATGAGACAATTCAAAGAGAAGAGAAATTAGCAAAGATAGAATAAAATAAAATCCATATACAACTGTGTATTAGTCCATTTTCATGGCCTGAGCTCTACTGTGGCCCCTTTCAGCCACAGCTGAAGTGGCTGGGATGCAGGGCCCCAAGTCCCTAGGCTGCACACAGCATGGAGACACTGGGCCTGGCCCACTAAACCATTTTTTCCCCCAAGCCTCCTGGCCTGTGATGGGAGGGGCTGCCCTGAAGACCTCTATCATGCCCTGGAGACATTTTCCCCATTGTTTGGGCAATTAACATTCAGCTCCTTGTTACTTATGCAAATTTATCCAGTTGGCTTCAATTTCTCTTCAGAAAATTGGATTTTCTTTTCTATTGCATTGTCAGGATGCAAATTTTCCAAACTTTTATGCTCTGCTTCCCTTATAAAACTGAATGTCTTTAACAGCACCCAAGTCTCCTCTTGAATGCTTTGTTGCAGAAAATTTCTTCTGCCAGATACCCTAAATTATCTCTCTCAAGTTCAAAGTTCCATAAATCTCTAGGGCAGGGGCAAAATACTACCAGGCTCTTTGCTAAAACATAACAAGAGTCACCTTTGCTCCAGTTCCAACAAGTTGCTCATCTCCATCTGAGACCACCTCAGCCTGGACTTTATTGTCCATATCCCTAACAACGTTTTGGGCAAAGCCATTCAACAAGTCTCTAGGAAGTTCCAAACTTTCCCACATTTTCCTGTTTTCTTCTGAGCCCTCCAAACTGTTCCATCCCCAGCATGTTACCCAGTTCCAAAGTCACTCCCACATTTTTTAGTATCTTTTCAGAAACACCCCACTCTACTTTTAGCAACTTACTGTGTTAATCCACTTCCATGCTGCTGATAAAGACATACCTGAGACTGAGCAATTTACAAAAGAAACAGGTTTAATGGACATACAGTTCCACATGGGTGGGAAAGCCTTACAATCATGGCCAAAGGCAAGGAGAAGTAAATCACATCTTACGTGGATGGCAGTGGAGAAAAAGAGAGAGTTTGTGCAGGGGAACTTCTCTTCTAAAACCATCAGATCTCGTAAGACTCATACACTGTCATGAGAACAGCGCACCTGCCTCCATAATTCAAACACCTCCCATTGAGTTCCTACCATGACACATGGGAATTGTGGGGACACAGCCAAACCATATCAAACTCAGTGGGAAAAAAAGCAGAAAATGAGAATGAACAATTTTAGCTGATGAAAATCATATCTATTCAAAATTAACAGTATCAACAAGAAAAAAGTGAAGGATAAAACAAAAGATAAACATTTTCAAACTGGCTCATAATCTAGAACTCAATTATATGCTGAATGCATGGGACAAATTTAAAATGGTGTGATTCTAAAAGGCTAAAAATAAAGGAATGGGTGAAGGTGTATTTGAAAAAGTAAATAAGAGAAGATAGATTGGATTTCTGATAACAGACAAGGTACAGTAGGTCAAAAGGCATTAAAAGGTATACTTTATAATGCTAAAGACCACAATACACAATATTATGAATAGCTAAACAACTAACAAAACAACTAGCTTTATATAGTAGAAACTACAAGTGATGCAAAGGAAACTGAAAAACACTAAATGCAGAATACTTGAACACACCATTCTCCATACAAAAATCAAGTAGAGCAAATAATGATAATAACGATAATGTTAAAGAAGACTTAAGCAACATAATCTTATGCAAATATACATGGTAACAGAAAAATGCCTTAATCTCAAGTGCACAAGAAATAGTCATGAAAATTAAACATATATTTGGCCCTTCAAATCCCCAAAATTACCATGAATATTACAAGCAATATTTTCTCACAGAGCTACAATAGATTTAGAAAATAACACAATTAAAAACTAGACATTAAAAATAATAATGATGTCTCTTTATCCGGAAATTTAAAAAAGAACTTCTATTAATATACAGGAGAAAGAGGAATTAGGAAATAAAAATCTGAAAACTAATGTTAACGAAAACACTACATTTGAGACACTATTGGTATAAAGTAGTAATCGTAAGAAAATGTATGGCTATTTACATTTTTAGTAATACAAATAAAAGAAGGAATAGGATTGAAGTAAATTTTCCCAAAAAAGTTAAAGAACAAATAGAAAACCCTTGAAAAAAAAAAAGGAGCAAAAAGAAAATAATTAGTGGACAAGCAAAATGTTAATAAATTTTAAAAAAGAAAAACAGTTAAACCAGTTAATAAAAAACTTTAAAAACAATTAAAATAATTATTAGATAACCAAATTAAAACATAAAAGAAAGAAAACATAAACCTAATAAATTACAAGTGGTAATAATTATGGAAAGAAAAAATTAAAACATTAAGTGACTCTGCCCAACAGTATGCAAATAAAATGATGAACCTAAACAAAATAGATAACATTCAAAGGAAAATATAATTTATCCAAATTTATCCCAGTAGAGATAGAAGGTTATACTTCTACAGAAGAAATAGTTATTAAAAATTTTCACCAAACCTTTAAAACCAAGCTAATCTCAATTATATAATAGTATTCCTGAATAATCCCAAAGGATCCATGATAAAGGTAGGAAAACAATAAAGTAATTCCAAAAGTTTGCAGAATATAAAACTAACACACAAGAATCAATAAGCTTTATATACAAAAACAATATTTAGTGAGACAATATAATGAAAGAAAAGCCTTACTTATCAGTATCAGTGATAAAGTTAAAATACCTAGTAATGATATCATTAAGAAACAGACAAAACCTGTACGGGAAAAAGCTTTAAAACATTTTTGAAAGACAAAAAGGAAACTTGAAGAAATGGAGTGAAGTTGTTACTATTGGTTTGGAAGAGTCATATCAAAAAGAGTCAATTCTCCTAATCTTGTGGGGTTATTTTTTATATGAATCTTAGCATCAATTTGTTTATTCCTATAAATGAGAAGGCTTTGTATGGTGAAAACCATAAATCATACTGTGAATGTGTCTGCTTTTAAGGACTACTAATTTTCTTAAAGACATGTACATTGTTGGTGTAGTTACATCTATTTTTGTTGCTGTATAACCTTCTTTTGATTATTGGATTTTGCACAATATATTCATCCATTCTACTGTTGAGAATAATTTGAGTGATTTCTAATGTGAGGCTATTTCAGAGAGTGTTGCCATGAACATTATTGTCCATTTCTTTGTTGGAAATATATTTCTTGGGCTCTATGAGTAGAATTGCAGGGTTATAGGTTATTAAAACATTTAGTTTTTAATCTATACTGCCAAAGGGTTGCCAATGAAAAGAGTCCAAGTCTGTAAAATATTTTAAGAGATTTATTCTGAGCCAAATATGAGTGACCATGGCCCATGACACAGCCCTCAGGAGGTCCTCAGAACATCTGCCCAAGGTGGTCGGGGTGCAGCTTGGTTTTATACATTTTAGGGACACATGAGACATCAATCAAATTCATTTAAGAAATATACTGGTTTGGTCCAGAAAGGCGGGACAACTCAAAGCAGGGGTGGTGGGGGTGGTGGGGGTTTCCAGGCTATAGGTAATACAGGTAAATTTAAACATTTTCTGGTTGAAAATTGGTTGGGTTTATCTAAAAACCTGGGATCACAGAAAGGAAACATTCAGGTTAAGATTTGTGGAGACCAAGGTTCTTTTGAAGTCTTATAGTGGCTGCCCTTAGAGGCAATAGATGCCAACTGTTTCCTATTCAGATATTTAAAAGGTGCTAGGCTTTTAGTTAATCTCTTTAGGATTGGGAGGGCCTGGAAGAAAAAGATCTAGCTATGTTAATAGAGATTCTTTCCAGTTGCAAATTTTCCCCCACAAAGGACAGCTTTGCAGGGCCATTTCAAGATATGGCAAAGAAACATGTTTTTGGATAAAACATGTTCATTTTTTTCCTTGTCTTGTAATGTTATGACAGAGTCAGGTTGGGAAGTAAGTCACAATATACAGGATTAAATTAAAAAAAAAATCTGATGAGAATTTATGATTTGTAGGGCATGACTCCCCAGACCTCTTAAACAGGAATTTGGGCAAGATAAAAAAATCAGAGTTTAGTCCTCAGGGTTTTCCAAAGTGGTTTTACAAATATTTCCACCCACAGTACATGAGAATTCTGATACTTCCATCCTCAGTAACTATTGGCATTTTGTCTTTTTCATTTTAGTCATTTTTGTGGGAATGTAGTAGAATCACATTGTGGTTTTTATTTGCATTTCCTTGATCACTACAAAAGTTATTGGACTTTTGAATATCCTTTTATAAAATTTAAAAAATATTTTTATGGATCTCTAATAGCTGTTGAATACCCCTTAGATGAAAAGTCTTTTCTAGTCTTTATTCCCTGTTTCTACTAGGTTGCCTTTTTCTCATTGATTCAAGTAAATCCTTTACATATTCTGCATATGTAAAGGATGTGAAGATATATGGATTGACAATAACTTCGCTCACTCTGTGGCTTGATTTTTTACTTTCTTAATTGTTTCTTTTGATGACCAGAGTTATTAATCTAATACAGTCCAATTTATGAAGCTCTTTCTTTATGGTTAACATTTCTGTGTACTGTTCAAACTACCTTTTTCTACTCTAAGCTCATGAAGATATTCTTCCATGTTTGTTTGTTTGTTTGTTTGTTTGTTTTCTAAATGATATTGTTTTTCCTTTCACTGTTAGATCAAATCCCTCTGGAATTATTTTGTTTGGGTGTGAGGTAGGATTCTAGATTCACTTTTATTATATTTGTATTACGGGTCTCCAATTTTCCTTGAGCATGTCAGTTCATTTTTACATTCAAAACGTTAATGCATGCATTCTATTTGGAGAAATGTTGCGGGGGAAAAAGCTGCTAAATTTTCTTAATATTTCATTCATCATTCTATTCTAAAACTATTGATTATGTATCTTTGTCTCACAAATTTTAAATAGCATCTTTGGTTATATATGCCATACATTTTGGAATAACATTTTTGAGGTACAAATATTTTATCTCAGCAATTCCTGATTACCTCAGGACTCATCATGCTTTGTGTAACTAAGTGTTCCATGAACTATGTGATCACTTACTGAAAGGAAGACGAAGGAATTGAATAAAACAAAGCCAACTTTCAACTTTAAGATTTCTGAATAGACTTTTTTAAATGCCTAGCAGTATCTCAAAATTCAAGGGTTAGTATTTTCCCAAAAAGTCTCTTTGTTTGTTTTCAACTTTGTAAATTCTAAAAAATATAGTATATGCCATAAAAAAAGAGTTAAGAAGGACAATAGGTGAAAAACCAGACTATCCCTACTCAGGGCTATATGAAGTTTGACCATTCTGGGAAAAATCAGCGCTGAGTTGAAGAAGTAAAATAATTAGTTGAAAATTAGCTGGGTGAGGTGTCCCATGCCTATAGCCCCAGCTACTCAGGAGACTGAGGTGAGAAGAGTGCTTGAGCATGGGAGGTCGAGGCTACAGTGATCTGTGACCATGACACTGCACTCTAGCTCTAGCCTGGATGAGAGAGCGACTCAGATTCTGGGTGACACTGTCTCAAAAAAAAAGAAAAAAAGGAGAAAGAAAAAGTTAGATTAAAATATGGGTTTTCTTCAGTTTCCCAATGTTTGGCAAAGTCTGGGGATTATAGAATATCCTGTACCTTTGGTCAAGCCTACCCCACTGTATTTATGGGGTACAACTGTGAGGCTGCTAGCTACAGAGGCCCAGAAGCAAGGTACTAATGTCCTTTACTATCATTTAACCAAAGGAACCTAGTGTTTAAAATAAGGGGCAGAATAAGGGGGATTTTTAACTGGATGCCATAACTAAACTGTAGGTATTTCACAGATACAATGGGAAAACAAGATAAATCCTAGCAGGCGGCTTTGTATTCATCTTAATGTATGCCAATGGAAGAAAGAAAATGTCTCTAAACAAAAAATGCCCTTCATTCCTTTTGTGGGATGAATTGTGACCTCCACCAATTCATATGTATTGAAGTCCTAAACCCTAGCACCTCAAAATGTGACTGTATTTGGATATAGGGTCTTTAAAAAAGTAAGTCAGGTAAAATAGATCATATGGGTGGAACCTAATCCAATATAACTGATGTCCTTATAAGAAGAGGAGATTAGGACACACACACACGAAAGATGATGGAAAAACACCAGAAAAGATGGCCATCTACACACTAATTAGAAAGAACTTAGAATAAACTAACCCTGATGATACCTTGATCTTTGACTTATAGCCTCCAGAAATGTGAGAAAATAAATTTCTCTTGTTAAGCTACCTGCTCTGTGTTAGTTATTATGGCAGCTCTAGAAAACCAATATACCTCCCTTCCACTCCTAGATTTATTTAAGCCCTCTTTGAATTTAAATGCTACCATTGGGAGAAAGCAAAAAACTGTAGAACCCTGGATTGAAATATGATTAAAACGTTAAATGGCTGAAAAATCATTGACTGAGTTTACCTGAAAACAATGAAGCTATTTTTTTTTCTGTTTGCATATCAACAGTCAAAAGAAAAGGAAAAAACACATAAAATTTTATCAATAAATACAGAAAATGGATTAGACGAAATCCAACACCCATTCATGATGAAAACTGTCAACAAACGAGAATAGAGCAAACTTCCTCAACTTGATAGAGCACATCTGCAAAAATCCTAGTGCTAACTTCATACTTAATGGTGAGAAATTCAAAGCTTTATCACTAAGATCAGAAACAAGCAATGCTATCTCCTCTCACCACTACTTTTTAAAAAAGTACTGAAACTCCTAGCTAGTGCAACAAGATGGGAACAAGAAATAAGAGACAGACTGATAGGTAAAGAAGAAATAAAACTATCTTTGTTTGCAGATAACATAATCATCTACTTAGAAAATCTGAAGGAATCAACAAAAAAACTATCTTGGAACTAATGAGCATTATAGCAAGGTTGCATGGTATAAAGCTTATCTACAAAAATTAATCACTCTACCAGGCTTTCTACTTTTTCCATTAAACCCTTGGCATACTGATCACAGGTTTTTAAAGTACCTAGTCTGATAATTCCAACATTCCTGCCATATCTGACTCTGGTTCTGATGCTTGCTCTGTCTCTTTAAACTGCGTTTTTTTTTTTTTCCTTTAGTATGGTTTATAATTTTTGTTGTTATTGTTGAAAGATGGGCATGATATACTATATAAAAAGAACTGCAGCCATAAAATTTTAGCAATGTAGTGGTAAGATCCAGAAGAAGAGGAAGTATCCTTCAGTGCTATGGTTAGGTCCCAGTCTTTTGTTAAACTTGTGCCCCTGAACTGTGAACTTCATCATTGCTTCTCAGTTTTGTTTTGTTTTGTTTCCCCCTCCATTATGTGGGATAGGATGACCAGAAAGGGCTGGAGTTGAATATTTTCTACTTGCAAAGTGGTAGGCTAAAGCAGGCTGGCTTTGAGTATATCCCTTCTCCCATGTTACTTAGGCTCTGATAAAATCCCAGCAGGTTAGACGCTGGTCATATAGTTTCTGCTGAAGGTAGCTTTGCCAACGAGAACAGAATATTCCACAGTATTTTTAAATGATTATTTTCTTTCTCTCTCCCTGCTAAAGGCAGAGGGGACATTTTTTTCTTGATACTTCTTGTGAGGACCAGTTACAGCTCCAGGATGTAAAGCTCACAAAAATGTAGGGATCATCCTTTGTTTGGGTCTCCCTGGAGTGTTTTAATCTCAGACTTGTCCACTCCAAGCCTCCATTAACTTGTGAATTTCCATGCAGGTTTTCCCACCTGAAGAAAGTTCCTGTGATTTTTGTCCTGGTAAATTGTGATTCTGTGTCCCCCTGTCTGTCTCTCCCATTTGGTGGACAGAATTTGCCCCATGAGCTTATTTCTCTGAGCGATCCAAGAAGAACTGTTGATTCATCATTTTGTTCAGTTTTTTTACTTCTTGTTGGGATGAAGTGCTGGCCGCTAAGCTCCTTACATGCTGGACTGAAACCCAGAAGTTAACGGCTATGTTATCATCTTTTGTAATTATCTTCTTTTCTTAGAATTGTAAGTTTTAAATGTAGTAAAAGTAGAGATTTTTAAAAATAAATGGGTTATCATAGACTCCTAATGTAGACTTTCTTTTTGACAAACTCAAGAATAAAAGTTGGAAAGTAAAACTTTGCTTGATATAAGGAAAAGTAATTTTATTGAAGTGGCAAATAGAAAAAGAATACAATTTGTTAATGGTATTATGATGACACAATATTATTCACTACATTAAAATGAAATTAAAAGTCCTAAACTCTTTCGTGAATATTATTTCCAAATAATTCTAATGAAAGTACATCAGTGCATCAAAGGTCAAAATGTTCACTATACTAAATAGGCTTAAAGCAACATGATTCTATGTTACTGTGTGCCTTAGAAAAGCAGTAGCTCCGACGTTAAATTGGGCACTTTGAGAAGTTGCATTTATTCTTTCTGATTAGTAAGATAGAATTTGGTCTAGTTCGGTAGTAACTTGCTAAATTAAGGGTGAAGATTAGAAGTGCCCTACTAGCTCACTTAATGAACAAAGGAATTACAGTCAGATGGTAAATATTTTATTTTTAAGTCGCTTAACTTTAAGTTTCATTGTCTGTATAATAATAATACTAAAAATAATAATAGTTATTATTATAGAGTTGAACTAAAAATTTAGCCACCTGGCTTGTTTTAAGCCTTTGACATTCACTTAGTTACTAAGTTACTTAAATGACATTTTGTATGAAAGTCATTTTCTTGATCAGAAACTGTTCCCCACTAAACCCATTTTCATTTTTGTTGTTTTAGAAAAACATGTTGGGCATTTTTTGTAATATTATAAAATTAATTATATCTGCAGCCCACAATATGTAACACACTTTTTACATCCTAATTTCTGAGTAAAGTAGGGCAAAAGGAGATAAAAATATGCAAGAATGAAAATC
Organism: Homo sapiens; assembly: GCF_000001405.40. NCBI lineage: Eukaryota > Metazoa > Chordata > Mammalia > Primates > Hominidae > Homo > Homo sapiens. Next base: position 85,192,056 of record NC_000007.14, on the reverse strand, counting down.
ACTATTATCTTAAATGCTTTATTATACACTTCACTTTTCATAGTGGAAAAATAAACATGTCTTACAGTCAAAGAAATAGTAGAGGCACAAATATAGTAGAAAAGCAAATCATGAATTTTCTCCCATTTGTGGAAACTGATGGTTTAAGTCTATCCAAAACAAACCTCAATATTTAGCAAAGAAACTCTATCTAATGCATTTATTTGGAAGGGATTTTGATAATATCTATATAAATTTATGGGTTATTTTGGAAAATCTTCCTTTTCAGGGATACTGATTTCACTGTGGCTAAGCAGCTGCTTATGACCTTGAACAAAGCAGAAGTGTTGGAATGCCTTCCTGCTGTCTGTATGGACCTGCTCTTGCCAGTTACTGCACAAAGAAATAGTTTAATTCCACTTGGAATACAGGTATGTCTGGGTTTCAGGAAATAATAGAGTACTGTTGATTAATTGTGAACCAGAACAAATAAGCCACAAGAGGGCATATTTTTCTTTATTTCGTCACTCATACACAAATAAGGCTTGCCTCAGCTGGGTATCACAGGAATTCCCTCCTCAACCTCATTTTCTTAGAAGAATACACTGTATCTAAAACATGCTGTAAGGGTAGAATGGTGGTAGTATGAAAGTATTTTTAAAAAGAAAACTTAAAGATGATTTTTTATATTGTGCATAGGAAAGTTGTTTATTTTTCCTTAAAATCCTTCCTTGGGGATTGTTTATTGATATAAGTACATTGTTACAAATCAAACACAAAAAGCCATTTATCTGACTAAATTATCCCAATCTGCAACAACCATATAGACTCCTATATCAGGCGTGGAAAACCGTTCCAAATTCTAGTGAATGTTGGTAGTCAAGAAGGATTTTCTTTTCTGAAGTCTCAGGATTTGGGCCAAAGAGGCTGGACTGTGTTTTTATTTTTATTTTGAAGCACATTCCTGCTGAACTTAATTATTCACCACACCCCAACCCAGCTAAGTAAATATAGCCTTAAGATTCTGGCTTGGACAGTTTTGAAAAATAGCTGATTTTTTTTTCTTTTCTTTTTTTAAGAAAAGTCTCTATAGCAGGGTGAAATATTCTACAGAGGGCATCAAGTCAGAAGTCATAAGGAGCTGAGTGATAACTATGTCTTCCTTGGCCCTGGTTTCCTTGTGTCTAACATGAGGGATAGAAGGTTTTGAGGTGTCTTCTGACTATGAATGTTTATGATTATTTATGATTTTATAAGAGTTTAAAACTTAAAAGTATGAAGCAAAGTTTGGACAGTTTTACATACCAATTAACTAAAGATAAACTGTTTTCTGTCTTTATCTGATGATGAGAAGCAGGGATGCATTTACTTCTGAGAGTTCTATGTATTATAATTAATACAGAAATAAAAGATGAAAGTCAGGTGTGTTTTTTTCCCCACCATTAAACACATCAGATGATTTTATAATGTAAATATCTAATGATCCAGTGATGAGTGTATTGCTACGATCAAATGAAATAGATGGAAAAAAATACCTGGAGTTTATAAGAAGAAAATAGCTAATAGAAGATAAGGGGCTGGGTGAGCTGCTTTAAACTCATGCACTCACTTGTTCCAACTAGATGTAACTTAACATACACGCCGATTTTCTTGGATGAGGATAACAACATTTCTTATCAGTCAGTGCTGATAAGGTGATATATGAGAAAACGTTTATAAGGTGATATTTATTATAAGACAGAGAGGTTTTCTGAATGACTAAGGTATGACTAGTTTTAGAGAAGTAAACATTAAAATGACATGCTTTTTAACACAATTTTTCTTGTTTGCCTCTGTGTATAAACTTTGAGGTCTCCTTCATCAATAATTTTCTTTCAAATTCACCAAATTTTCATTTGATTTGTGAATATAAAACTGTTCAGAGAGAACTAGGATTGTAGATTTTGTTGGTTTTAGTATCTTCTGCTGAGAGGACAGCCAAATCTTCTGCTAGATTTAAGCTCTGGACCCAGTAATTACCTTTCTCCTGTCTTCTGTTCAGAGGTAGCTATATGTGGAATTGGAGAAGCCTACAATATGTCTATTCTACCCTAACCCATCCCTGCTGCCTTCTCCCATGGCTCTCAACATAGATGGATGATTACTGAAATTCTACAATTAGAATTTTATTCTTTGGATTTGTTTGGCATTAAATGTGATCCTTTGAGAAATAGTGTATTTCATATTGCCTAACACATATTACTACCATAAAATGAAAATTACTTACTCATATTATATTTGTGAGCCCAAATAGAGATGGGTGAGGAGTAGTATGTCTCAGAATAGCCTAGATTCTCAAGGCACACAATTTATTTATTCAATAATGTTTCCAAGAACATGAAAGTTATTTGTTTTCTTTCCTTTTTCTTTTTGTTTGTATTTTTCCCCTTGGACTGAAACAGGCATACAAGCAACAATTAGGTGGTTTTAACTGATGATATACACATCGCTTTCAGTGAAATTAAGGCTCACTCGTTAAATCTTGAATAGTCACCCTTGAAGACAAACTAAACTGCACAATACACCTTGTATTTTAGCAAAACTTTTTGTAAAATATACTTTTTTTCCCACTGGGTTTTATTTTAAGAATTTAGATAGGGTATTAGCCCTATAGGACAGAATACCAAATTGCTTTTGATGAAAGTAGATCTCAAACTCTTAGAAAGGGTTGTTAAAACTATCTTGGTGGGACCCTATACAGTTATTAGAAATTCAGAAATAAATCCAGTGACTGAATATTAACATTATTTCTACTGTTTTTATTAACTCGTTTAACACACAAATATTTGTTAAGCACCTAACACATTCAAGACATTCAGGGAAGCAGCCTGAAGATTACGGAGCCATGGACACAGCTGAGGCCATTCATCACATTGGGCAACATATTAACAGTTGATTCCATCTGCTTTGTGCTCAGAGTCATTAAAAGGAAGGAAAGCACAGAATTCACGTTCCAGATGTTGTTTTCTCATGATATGTTCAGGATACTCTGGTAAATTCTGTCTAAATTTGAAGTCTGAGCATCTCAAACTAAATCAGTACAATACAATGTCACAGGCATTGTATTAGAGGCTGAAGAAACAAAGACACAAAACAGCCAACACTTTTGTATGGGATGCAGACACATGCATAACTAATTATAATATAAAGTGAAAAGAGCTTATTATAGTAGTGAAATCAAAGTGCTTTGGGAAAACAGGAGGGAGTGATTAATTCTGTAAGGGCTTTATGGAAAGTATTGAATGGTAGCAAAGGAAGGTGTCATTTGGTTTAAGCATATTAAGCTACAACTTAAAAGAGAAAGGAGGAAAATGGGAAATCCAAAGTTAACCACAATTCTAGTTAAACACAAAATTCTGGCCAATAAACTGACAAAATTATTTAAAAGTTTAAAAATAGAGATTTTCTAAAAATCAAAAACTACTTACTATAAACCCACCATATACGGGAGAAAAAAAGAGATATTTTATTTGCACAATGACATTGCAATTTGCATGGAAGTGCAATGACATATACAAATGAAAATAATATAAACACATAGAAACATACAATAAACAATTGCATGACTATGTACAGAATGAGTGGTATAACATTAAATATAAAGCATTCAGAAAAAAAATAAAAGTTGCTATAGTTTGAAATAGTCTACGAGGATTTAAAATTTTTTTCTCTATCCAAAGAGGGTATTTATGGGGTTGATTGGTTGTGAGTCCAAACCAAGGTTATAGAGATGGGGCAGCATGAGACACAAGAAAGAGCCTTGGTCAGATTTGAGAAACCTGAGCCTTTCCTTAGCCTGACTCTGCCATCAACCATTTATAACTTAAAATGACTCCTTTAGCTTCTGTGGCCCTCAGCCCTCTGCCACAGATAAAAGGTCAAATGAAGAATGTCTTCCACCCCTTTCAGTTATTCCATTACTGCATTTGTCTGTTCACCATCTCCAAATCAAGATATCTCTTGTTACTTGCTAAGGAAGCTTTGGGACCCTACACCTTGTGCTCTTAAATCAAGCTGACAAATGCAGGATCCCGTGGCTGCTTGCTTTCCATGTCTCTACCTCATGTCAGATTTATGTTTGGGACTAAGGGCAAGGTGTGTGACTATAAACCTGGATATCCCATCACAAAGGATTTACCATGCAGCTAAAAATGCCTAACGTACAGGGCTCACCAAATGCACAGGCCTTTTTAATGTCCCTGACGGTGGCCTCATGAACTCTCATTGTCATATATTTTTGCAGAATCTGTAGAAGTGAGATATTTCTGCATTACTTTTGCTTAAAGAGGATCCTCTATTCCAATTGCATAGGATCCAGGTTCATCAAAACTTAGATCTTCTCGTCATTATATACTTCTAAGTTCCTACTGTGTGAATAAGGGGTGCAAAAATCTAAAAAACTCCCGAAGACAAGGATATGAGGCACACCTCTTTGTAGGTCTGGCGTAAGGGAAAGAGGAAGAAAGGATTACATTCTACTCGTTTTTATCTCTCCCTGTTTGGTCTTAATCGGGTGCCAGCCCCTTAACGGAGGGTTGATCCCTGTTCCTCATCCCTATGCCTGCCTTGTCAAGGCCATTAACCGTGGATTGAGGTTTTACATAGTGGAACGCAGGTACTGTTTTGTGGGATTAGCATTTTTAGGACGGTGTTTGTGGTCACTCTCCCTGTTTCTTCCTCATGGGGTCCCTTAACAGGTTTTATGGTATAGAGAAGGAACTAAAGAAGTCCCCAAGTCACCCAGAAGGAAGATCAGACGTTAGAGGTTGCTTTACACATAGGGTGCCCTGTCCTGATAAACATCCGTCAGCGCTTGGCCAGGGCTACCTCTAAATCCACGCTGCTGGCAGCCTCCGCGCAGCAGGGATGAACTTCTGCACGCTTGGGAGTTCTGGCGTGCGCAGTGGAAGGAGGGGGCGAGGGCTGGGGGAGGAGATCGGAAGGGGAAAGGTAATCCCCGGCGTTTTCAGCATCCTCTTTTTAGAAAGACTGAGTCTCTCCCAGGACAGCTGCTGCGGTCACACCACAAACTTAAAAGCCGCCCTCCTGTTTGGAGCGTGCCTTTCCTCGCCACCCTCTCCTCCCCAAAGCTCCAGCTGGTGCCTTGCTCTCCGCCTGTCCTAGCGCGGCTCTCGGGGGAGGCAGCAGCGCCCCCTGCCTCCCGGCCTGGCCCCTGCGGCCGCAGCTTCCCGGCTCTGCCAGGGCTGCCGGCGGCTCCGCTTGCTCAGCCAGGGCTGCGGCTCAGAGGAACGCGCGCCGGTGCCCCGGGTTGCCGCGCCGCTGGACCTCAGCCTGCATCCCGTTCCCCTCTCCCTGAAAAGGCACCAGGAAAAGAGAGAGGGAGAGAAGAGTTCACAGCAGGTAAGTCTGGTTTGGGTCACCTGCTACTCCAGTGGGAGGGTGTGCTGGAGACCGCGGTGCTAAGCGGGGATAGCCGGGATTTGGGGGTGGCTGTGGGTCCGAAGTGGAGGACGAGCATGGTTTGGGAGATAAGGAACCGTCCTGAGACAGAGAAGGCTCCCGGGAGCGGACAGAGAGTGGGCGAAATCGGTGCGCAGTAATCGCGGCGCCAGCTTCAGCGCGGCCCCTGGGGCGCAGTCCCACCCCGCCTCAGCAGCTGCGGAGCCTTCTGACGAGCCTCCGCCTGGCAGCACTGCACAAAGTTTTCCTCCTGAGACGCGTCCAGGAACTTTGCTCTCTCCCTGGCTTCCTGGTTCCCCCACCACCCCTCCTGGTCTGGGCAGCAGAGAGCGTCTATGAATGTGTCCCCGGCTTCCGCAGGCTGCAGGTTCATTTGGAGACGCTTTAGTCGGGAACATCCGGGGAGTACTTGACCAAAGGGCATCTGCGCCCTCGCTCGCTCCTTTCCTTGTTGGTCTGGGAGAAGGGAAAGGGGCAAGGAAGAAGGAAGGGAAGCGTGGTGGTTTTTGTTGTAGCGTTTTGGAAGAGGAATGGGCGACGCCTTTTTCTTCGCCGGGGAATCGCGACGTTCCGTCTGATGGAAGTGTGCATCCTTTTAGATTTAGAGGGAAAGTTGGAGTCAAACAGCAGCCACAAAGCTGGCTGTCTGAAATGTGGTTAAGGCAAAACACTCGGGGGATCTCTTTGTAGTAGTGGGCTTGGCTCGCTTTGGAAAGGCCGGATTTGACTCGTGCTGGGCATTTAACCAGGAGTGCGGTCCCCAGGGTGTTTCCTCCCGGCTTCTGCCCAACGAGCCTGGAGTTAATGCGTTAATGGGCTACCCTGGTAGCGCACGGGCCGTTTTCGGCACTGTTTCTCCTTCTCTGATGACTCGAGTTCAACCTCCTGGGCTGAGTTGCTTTGCCTCCGTCACAGTGCAAGGAGGGAAGTTGACAGGAGGAGGAGACGCCGCGCTGTGGCAGGGAGCTTTGGGATCCAGGGGACTGGAAGAGAGCCGCGCGCCAGCAGCTGGGGCCGCTGGTGTCCGGGATTCCGAGTTATGGGGACAGGAGTTAAATAGCCGAACTTTCAGCGATTTCGCCTCGAGCGAAGCGGTAATAAAAGGCAAGCTTCTGTGCGTGGACTCTTATTTCATCACCAAAACCCCACCACTTTCCGTTTAGCTTAGTGCTATTTGCACAAGCAAAAGAAGAGGGGAGAAGACCTAAACTTTCCGGTTTAGCCTAAAAAGGGTTCTCCTGCATGTGTGCGCTAGCGGGGGATGGCGGGGTGGGGGCGCGCAGAGACGAGGGGGAGGATCTCCTAACAGAGAGGGAAGGGTTGAGGCGGAGGTAGAGGAGAGGTCTGAGACATCTCCTGGGTCTGGTGCTGCTGCTATTGTGTAACCATGGCAACCGCGGGGGCAGGGGTGGTCAGAGCCTTCCCAGTTCTGCACGTGGAAAGAAAAATGTGAAGGGCAGAGAAGGGAGAGAGCCACATGTCATCACTCCAGTGATGCCTTGCCTTCTCCTTTTTGTTCTCCTTTTCCTTCTCCTTTTCCTTCTCCTTTTCCTTCTTCTCTGAGGCCAGATAGCAAGGAGGATGAGCAAGAAGACACACATGTCATCACTCCAATGATGCCCTCCCTTCTCCTTTTCCTTCTCCGAGGCCAGACAGCAAGGAGGATGAGCAAGAAGATCGGGGTTGGGAGTGATCAGCCCCAGCTGGCCACTGCTTTAACCCAGTCGGGTCTTAGAGTCTCTGAGACTCGCCCCAGCGGATAAGACGGGTCAGGGGTGCCATCGCTGACAGGCGCAAAGTGATGGCCCTGGTCAGGGAGATGGGCAATGACCTTGGCTCTTGGAAGGGAAAGGCCAGGAAATACAGGAAGGTGATGTGGGACGAGATAAGAGTAGGGTCAAGGGCTGACAGACAGTAAAACAGTACTGATTCGAATTGCCAAAATTTCCAATGGAATTTGCCCAATTGTGAAATGGAAAGTTCCTAGAGAAGGGAAGAAACATTTATCAAACACCTATTGTGTTTCAGGTGCTGTGAACTTTATCACAATTAATATCCTCAACAATATGATACAAGTGTCATTATTCTCTTATTCTTTTCTTTTTGAACAGAAAAGAAAAAAAAAACAAAGACATAAAGATTTATAAATGGGTATTGTCCCATTTTGGCTTTTATGTTCTTAATGAAGAACCGTAATTCTTAAAAAAAAATTGTATTGCTGGGGGAATAAGCTAGGTAGTTATTATTTTAGAGATGATAATAAATGAGATGCAAAAATGTTGCTTGATGTGCCCAAATATAAGCTAGTAAGGGCACGAACTGAGATACGAACTGTTTTACCTGGGTGTGGGTCTCCTTTCAGAAACTTCAAGAAAGTTGTCATGACCCCACTTAATGGGAGGGCTTTCTAAGGTCAGTTATGATGCTGTATCTGTATCTGTTATCATTTACATGTGGAGAACACTCAAAATTTTAAATGCAATTCATGGTTGAGAATGAGAATGAACCACATCAAATCGATAAGCCCAGAATCGTATGTATGTGATATTAATGATCTATTCATACCTACAGGTTTCATTTTCCTTTGTAGGAATTATTAGTTTCTTTAACAATGTCCGTAAAGGAAAAAAAAAAGAAAAAGAATTTATCAAACAGAAATCCCATGGTTGTATTAAGAACATTTCCTGAGATTAGTTAGGTTTTCCTCAGTCTACTTATTGTCCTCATGACCTGAATACCTAAAAATTTACTTCGTATTTCAGTACCATTGGTTCACTTTTGTAGTTCACTCTGGTTACTTTCCTGTTGATGTTCTGAGATGGGAGGTTAAGAAAAAGTATCTGGCAATGTAAAATGTTTTGGAATTATCGGGAAACTATCATCAACACTAGCAGAAACTAACGATAAAAGATAGAAAAGTAATTGCTGTGGCTTTCTTTTGCCTTTCACCAGAATTGCCTTCATAGGTAAGTCTTTACTAATGATTTGCTTTATATTTTGCAGAGGAAAAATACACAAAGAAAAACTGAATTTGTAATCTCTCTTTTATGTGTGGGGAAGACTAGTAAGCGTGGGAATGGGAATTATTTTTGGTGGCAGGGAAGGTCAGGAATATGAACAACTAGAAAGGCAGAGGAAGCATATCTTCTACTGTTTCCGACAGGCTAACAGACCGGACTTCAGGTTTGAACTTGAGTCACCAAGCTGATTTACTCTCACATATTTTTCTTTTCCAAAACTAAAAAGGATATTGCTTGGGGTTGAAGTTAAATTAATTCAAGAAGTTTCATAGTCTCCAGTTATTCTTCATACTGTGCTCTCAATCCATTGCATGGATATTTGTTAACTATCAAAAGGGTTATCATAAACCAGAGGTGTCTCTGAAGATAACTTCGGGGGTTGGCAAGCATCTCTGTGTCTCAGTGTCTGTTTACTGTGTTAACAAAGCTACTGGGCTAACTCATTACTATTTTTATTATGCCTGTGTAATATCAAATTCTCAATCTCAAGGGGAAGACATTCTGACTGGTGCTAGTTTAATGAATATTATGTCTTCGGGTTGTTTGTTATAACTTCATTATTTTGGAAAAGCAAATGTTGACTCTGAACTTTGCTGTTCTGTCTGGGCGGTTCAATACATTGCTGACACATGTTCCTTCAGAATCATCCTTGTCAATTAATAAATAATTTTCTTCATGAACAAGAGTAGCCATAGGCTTGTTTTGAAAAGTTATTATTATTCTTCCTCTAAACATCTGGAGTGGTACAGAGTACTTAAGTAAAGTAGCATTTCAACACTCCATAACATAATCCTTGAAAGGAGAAACAAATATTCACATTTGTGGAATAAGTCATAATAACAATAATAATAATGATGATTTACTATGGGCAATAACATTGATCACATTCCTTCCCACCTCAAAATGTGGTTTTAAAGCAATTCCCTTTCTCCAGGAAACATGGCCAAAATCCTTTTTAATTTTTATACATTTGCCATACCTGTCAAGCTAATAGTCTATTTTCAAACATTTGTATTCTTTACTTTTTCTGTTGTTATGATCTCTTACTAGGTAATAAGAATCTTGAGGGTAGGAATTTGTCTTCCCTAATTTTTTATACCTTCATGTTGTTCAATGCTGAACAAATTCTAAATACTATTGAAGTATAACCAATTGTTTAAGTAGGTAATAGTGATCTTGAATCTTTTTATTGACTGTAAAGTCAAATTAAAGATTTTGGAGTTTATAATTTACTTTCCCTGAGATTTTAGCAAAAAGTGTTATTTCTAATATTAGGGCTTTACCCCTCATAAAAAATTGTGAGAGACTGGGAGTTTTATGATAATGCATAACATACAGGAATAGTGTAATGATCAGATCAGATAGAGTATATAAGAATACTAATTAAAAATTATTTAAAAATTGTTTGTAATTTTTGGAAAGGCCCAATTAATAAAGATATGTATACACAATCTATGTCCATGTTAATTCATCCTAAATTTAAATACCTAAATAATAACTAAAAAAAAGATAAAAGAAAAGAAGAATTCACCATAACCAAGAAATACGCTGATAAACAATTGCAACACTTTTGAGATTATTTTGAAACTTGAGTGATATTAAGATTAGTAGACATTTATACATAGGTAAACACCTATACATAGGTAAGTCATGTTAAAAAGCTGACATTATAATGAAGTATACTGTTTATGTTTGCATTTTAATAATTTTGATGATTTTCAATCCATCATTATTAATATTGGATGCTTTAGTTCCATGTTCATGTTTCATAATTTTAACAGCCATCAACCAGGTCATCTTTAACTAGCATGCTAATCTTTCACTGGTCAGTTTATTCAGTTTGCTCACTCATTTGCAAAGCTCAATAAGCTACAAAGATTACCTTCTTTTTCTCCCCTCCTTTTTCCATGCTGTACTCTTTGGAAGGAGGTCAGCATGCTTAGCCCACACTTCAGGAGTAGAGAGTTAGGCTTCTCTTCCTTGTGGGCAGAATAGCTACATACATTACTTGAAATTATTGTGCATGGAAGAATTGTCTTTTCCTCCCTACTTATTAATTTATTCAATCTCTTATTTATACTAGCATACTATCATGGTTATTTATTTTATACTTGTGTTATAATCAATACTACTTAATTTAATTTATTTATTTGTTACTCAAATTTTTCCAGCTTTGGCCTCTGGGAGCTCTTTCAATTGGCTCCTCTGTCTTTTCAATACAACTCTAGCAGTGCATGTGTGTGTGTGTGTGTGTGTGTGTGTGTGTGTGTGTGTGTGTTGTGAGCATGTCTTTATTCTTTGTCATTTCAAGATGCTGTAGGCTCACCCTGATCCAGTCCTGGAATGAGCCATTTCTCCAAAGGTGTCTGGTTCTTTCTATTGGATAACAGCATTAGAAAGCAAGATTGGCGTGGGGTAGCATTTCACAGTGGATAAGCCTGAGGATCCCTATCTCACGATCTTAGCCAGGTAATCAAGGTCAATATCAACAGTGGGTTGTAAATCATGTTGATAGTTTATGCTTTTGATATTATTGCATTAAAATGACAATTTACCTCTGTGATCTTTCTTCCCAAACTCATATCTTCAATCTAAGCACAAGAAAAACATCAGATAACTTACACTAGAGTAGCATTCTACAAAATACCTGATCAGTAATCTTCACACCTGTCTTCAAAAACAAAGAAAGTCATCACTTCTCCGCGCAAATGAACGAAACCAAACAAACAAAAGCCTCAAAATAAGCAAGGAAAGTCTGAGAAACTGTTACAGCATGAGAAGCCTAAGCCTAAAGAGATATGAGAACTAAATGTAATATAGTATCTGCATGGGACCCTGGAACAGAGATAAAAAATGTCAGATTAAAACAAAGAGAATCTGAATAATGTATGGACTTTGATTATTGAAAATCTGTCATTATTGATTCATTAATTGTAAAAAATGTCCATACCATGTAAAATATAAATAATAAGAAAAATAGGATGTGGTTTATGGCAGACTTATCTGTACTATTTGCTCAATGTTTCTGTAAATTTAAAAGTATTCAAAAAAATGAAGTCTATCTTAAATGTTATATTTAAATTATATAGTGGAAAACTTTACTAATAGTGAACCATTCTCTGGTGTCAATAAGATTAATGCATGTATTAGTCATTTTCACACTGCTATGAAGACATATCCAAGATTGAGTAATTTATAAAGGAAAGAGGTTTAGTTGACTGACAGTTCCACATGGCTGGGGAGGCCTCAGGAAACTTATAATCATAGTGGAAGGGGAAGCAAACATGTCCTTCTTCACATGGCAGCAGGAGAGAGAAGTGCAGGGGAAAGAGGGAAAAAACACTTATAAAACCCTTATGTCTTGTGAGAACTCACTCACTATCATAAGAACAGCATGGGAAAACTGCTCCCATGACCTAGTCACCTCACATGAGGTCCCTCTCCCAACACATAGGGATTATAATTCAGATTACAATTCAACATAAGATTTAGGTGGGGACACAGAGCCAAATCATATCATTCTGACCCTGACCCCTCTCAAATGTCATCTTTATCAAATTTCAAAACACAATTATGCTTTTCCAACAGTTCCCCAAAGTCTTAACTCATTTCAGCATTAACTCAAAAGTCCAAGTCCGGCTGGGTGCGATGGCTCATGCCTGTAATCCCAGCACTTTGGGAGGCTGAGGCAGGTGGATCACGAGGTCAGGAGATCAAGACCATCTTGGCTAACACGGTGAAACCCCATCTCTACTAAAAATACAAAAAATTAGCCAGGCACAGTGGCGGGCGCCTGTAATCCCAGCTACTCAGGAGGCTGAGGCAGGAGAATGGTGTGAGCCCAGGAGGCGGAGCTTGCAGTGAGCCGAGATAGCACCACTGCAGTCCGGCCTGGGCAAAAGAGCGAGATTCCGTCTCAAAAAAAAAAAAAAAAAGTTCAAGTCCATAGTCTCATCTGAGACAAAGCAAGTCTCTTCCAGATATGCACCTGGAAAATCAAAAGCAAGTTAGTTACTTCAAAATATAATTGGGGTACAGGCATTGGGGAAATGCACCCATTCCAAAAGGGGAAATTGGCCAAAACGAAGAAGCTACAGGCCCCATGCAAGTCTAAAATTCAATAAAGTAGTCATTAAACCTTAAAGTTCCAAAATGATCTCCTTTGACTCCATGTCTCATATCCAGGTTATGCTGATACAAGAGGTGTGCTCTCAAAGCCTGGGGAAGCTCTGCTCCTGTGGCTTTGCAAGGTACAGCCCCACTCCTGGCTGCTTTCACAGGTCAGCATTGAGTGTCTGCGGCTTTTCCAGCACAGTGCAAGCTGTCAGTGGATCTACCATTCTGGAGTCTTGAGGATGGTGGCCCTCTTCTCACAGCTCCACTATGCAGTGCCCCTACAGGAGGCTCTGGCCACTACTCCATTACTTTGTGAGGGCTCTCACCCCACATTTCCCTTCTGTACTTCCCTAGCAGAGGTTCTCCATGAGGGCTCTTCTCCTGCAGCAGACTTCTGCCAGGACATCCATGCATTTCCATACATCCTGTGAAATCTAGGCAGAGTTTCCCAAATCTCATTCTTGACTTCTTTGCACCTGCAGGACCAACACCACATGGAAGCTGCCAAGACTTAGGTTGCACCCTCTTAAGCAATGGCCTGAGCTGTAACTTGGCCCCTTTTAGCCACGGCTGGAGCACCTGGAACACAGGGCACCAAGTCCAAGGCTGCACACAGCAGGGAGGCCCTGGATCCAGCCCATGAAACGTTTTTCTTCTAGGCCTCCAGGCCTGTGACAGGAAGGGCTGCTGTGAAGTCTCTGACATGCCCTGGAGACATTTCCCCATTGTCTTCATGTTTAACATTTGGCTCCTAGTTACTTATGCAAATTTCTGCCACAGGCTTAAATTTTTCCTCAGAAAATGGGTTTTTCTTTTCTGTTACATCATCAGGAGGCAAATTTTCCAAATTTTTTTGCTCTGTTTACTCTTGAGCCCTTTGCCAGTTAGAAATTTTTTCTGCCAGATACCCTAAATCATCTCTCTCAAGTTCAAAGCTCCACAGATCTCTGGGGCTGAGGCAAAATGCCACCAGTCTCTTTGCTAAAACATAGCAAGAGACACCTTTATCCAGTTCCCAACACATTTCTCATCTCCATCTAAAACCACCTCAGCCTGCACTTCATTGTTCATATCATTATAAGCATTTTGGTCAAAACCATTCAACAAGTCTCAGAAGTTTCAGACTTTCTCACATCTTCCTGTCTTCTTCTGAGCCCTTCACACCATTCCAACCTCTGCCTGTTACCCAGTTCCAAAGTCGCTTCCACATTTTCAGGTATCTTTACAGCAGCACCACACTATCCAGTACTGATTTACTGTGTTAGCTTGTTTTCATGCTGCTGTGAAGAAATACCTGAGACTGGGTAATTTCTAAGGAAAGAGGTTTAATTGATTCACAGTTCCACATGGCTGGGTAGGCCTCAGGAAACTTACAATCATGGCAGAAGGGGAAGCAAACCTGTCCTTCTTCACATGGCAGCAGGAGATAGAAGTGCAGAGAGAAGTGGGGGAAAGCCCCTTATAATACCATCAGGTCTCATGAGAACTCACTCACTATCACGAGAACAGCATGGGGGAACTGCCCTCATGACCTAATCACCTCCCATGAGATCCCTTGCACAATGCATGGGTATTACAATTTGGATTACAATTCAAGATGAAATTTGGGTGGAACACAGAACCAGACCATATCAGTGCCTTTCAACTTAATGCTTATGTTTTCCTCTACTTCCATTTACCACCTTGCTGCCATTTTTTCTGTTTATAATAAATACTATCATAATAAATAAATACTGTAAATTAGCTGTTCTTGTAATTACTTATTTTTCTAATAAAATAACACATTTGAATTACTAAAAACATTCAGATTTCAAATTATGATTGTAATTATAGGCTCTCATGCAAAAAATGCTATTTATTAGTCATCTCTATAAATCAATCTTAAGCACTTAAAAAATATGTGCATTTTTTACATCTGTCTTTGCTATTTTAATGATATTGACAAGACACAACATCAGTGCCAGATGTTTTCAATTCCAGATGATGATTATGCTTCCAAGATTCTTGCCAAAATTACTGTGTGACTACTTACTCTTTTTTTCTCTTTCAATCTCAATAACATCTACCACATTAAGTGCCTGAAGAATCACTCTCCAACAAATGTTATATGTATAATATATATACCATGACTATTTTGAATATTAAATTATACCCAAGAGGCTTCTACCTCCCCCCAAAATAACTTTTAGAAGCTAAAACTTACATGTGTTCCACAATATAGAGTGGCCAGCAAATATGGCTACCATCTTACTATCTCCCTATTATATTTTACACATATATATGCATATCTATACACAGATACATCCATGTCTGAATACATGCACTATACAGTCATGTATCATTTAATGACAGGGATATGTTCTGAGGAATATGTTGTTAGGCAATTTTGTCATTGTGCAAACATCATAGAATGAACCTACGCAAACCTAGATGGTATAGCCTATTGCTCCTAGGCTACAAATCTATACAGCATGCTACTATACTGAATATTGTAGGCAACTATGACACAGTGTGAAGTATTTGTGTTTCTGAACATAACTAAACATAGAAAAGATATGGTAAAAACATATTATACTTCTGGGACCACCTTGATATATGTGATCCATTTTTGAATAAAACATTGTACACATCACATGATTGTACAGATATATCTCTAAATGTCAATTCTCTCTCTCTCTCTCTCTCTCTATATATATATATGTATACAAATACACACACACACACATATATACATGTTACTTTACACATTATTCCTTCTCTTCCTTATGTTCCAAATTGCTGAATTTTTTTTAATTGAGTTTTAGTGTCTCTCAGGAAGCTTTCCTTCAGTCAGACCCAAAGTTGTTTTCACTTTTCTATATAATTTTATATATACCAAAGTCATACTATTTTTACCTTATATTTATACTTATTTAATAATGACCTGATTCTGTGCTTCACAGTTAACTGGAGTTTCTGCTGAATTTGTGTTATACTGGGGCAACAGCTGAAAGTTTAGGCATGCTTTTTTATTTCTGGTTTTAGTTTGTATGAGTCGTAGCATACAAAACACATTTCAAGAACTTGTTTGGAAAAAGTCATGGAACCTGATCCCAGAATGTGTGACTAAAGGGTGATAACCTACTGAATTTTCTGAAACAATAGAAGTGTCTGAAAAGACTAAGATCAATATGACTAATATGCTTTGGACTCTTACTAGAATCTTGGATTTTGGGTTTTAATTTCTGTTACACAAAATAAATTTAAAAATGTTTTAAGGAGTGATCTTGTCTTGACAACTTAGCTCAATCCAATAGAGGGATGAAGCAATATAATATTCTCACTAAAACTTTTTAAATGCATACTCAATTTGCACACTAGGTATGTGCAACTCACTTTTTTGTATAGACTCATGTTGTCTACCTCTTTTTTTTAAACTTCTATCAATATATCTTCATGATGGCTTGTGAATACTTAATCATAATGAGAGTACTAGTTTTAAAAATTTATTTGTAAATGAAAATAACCATCTCAAATGTTAACAAGATTTTAGGTTTGACTTTACACACCAGAGAGTGAATTCTTTATATATTTTTGCAGTTTTATATATATTAACTTTATCCTTGACATATTTTAAAATTAAAAATTCATTGTTTTGACCACACTATCTCCGGTCTTGTCTCTTCATATATTTATATAGTTCCCCATCATAACCGAATTCATTGTTATATGTTTCTTCCCAAGCAGATTGGCCAATTATAAAAGTAGCCAGATTATTCTGTCTGAAAAATGACCTGCATGATGAAAGAGTGTAAGACAAATTATTTTTAATTTGGAAATGGAAGTTAATACAAATTAAGAAATTATAGTAGTAGATTTTGAAATTGACTTCTATCACCTGTAAAGTAGCTGTTCAAAAGCACCTATACTGGATGTACAGACGGGTGAATAACATTTCCCTTTCTTTGGCTTGATTCACATTTCACAGAACTGTGGGGATTTTTGACTTAGACTTCACTATGATGAGGTTTGGCAGAGAGCATTCATTGTTCGGGTTTTCAAAAGGGCAAGTTTTTGGCCAGAATAACTTGCAAAGAGAAGGAATGCTATGCTTACACATGTGTACTCAATAAACCTTCAGAGAGCCTGGGCTAAGATATTACAGGATTCCTCACCCTATCCCAGCCCCAGTCTCTGGATGTTGATTGTTTAGAAGGCTTCTTTTGTTGTGTCACTATCACGTGTCTTTTCATATTTCAGGAACTAGTACTTTTATTCATATTTCAGAAGTTAATAGTGTACAGTGAATAGTCATTTCATATCCTGTGCACTTTCACTCGAGTTATTAAAAATCACAATCGCATTCAGGCCTACTTTCCCCTACTATTTAGCAGTACAAAACCATCATCTCCATGTCAATGAACAATCATTCTTTTGTATAATTGCAACCCTTTATTACATTCAATAATCGTACATGAAGATTTTGAGTTTTCCTTTACTAACTGTGTACAGACAGTGTTGAAGTATATGTGTGCTTTGATAGTGTATTAGGATGAGAAAAATCTACTGTAAATTTCCTAAATTGATAAGCAGAGCAAACCAGCATTAGCCATGTGGACCAGGCATATGGGTCTACAGTTTTGCTGTGCTCTTTCCCTAAGGGGCTCTGGCTACGATTTTCCCTTTCAACTGGAATAATTTTATATATTTTATTGCCACCAACTCTCCCAGCCGTCAACCGATGCCTCTACTCCCTACCCCACAAACACCCACTTAATCTTACCTGGAAAAGATTTTTTCATTCAAAATCTACCCACTTGTTTGTAAGATCTCTTTCAGTCCCCAGTAGCTCTTGCCCTCTCCCTTACTTCTAGTGCCACAAGATTGTTTCTCAAGGATACAAACCAAATGGTTGTTACCTAGGTATCTTTTTTCCATATTCTTATAGCATATTGCCAAGTCTTGCACAAAATAAGTGCAGTTTCTAATACTTGACTGAAATTAATCCATTCAGAATCTAATGCCTCTGTTTTTTTGTCTTGTGACAACTTGGACTATGGATCTTATCACAAAGCTTATGTCACTCCTATATTTCCCATATATTTATATTGCTCTTGAAGCCCTCCTAACTCCAGCTCCCCTTTTGTCTTTTCTTTAATGAGTATTTATTGTGCACCCGCTGCATGCCAGGCACTGTAATAGTCACTGATGAAACACAGATGAAAAAACATGGCTGGCCCTGAAGTAGACAATTTTAGAAGAATTCTTTATCACCGTGGGTTAAATCACATATCCTTACAGTATCAAACACAAATCAACAAAAGGACCTATTTGTAGTCTTGGTCTTTTTTCTCACAGCCTATGCTTAATTACATCACCTTCTTCCTCACCTGCTTTTATCTATGTGGAGGTTATGTTCAGAGTATTATCTCCATCCTTTCTTTCTTGGGTCCCAGCTATTTCAGCACACCAGGAGCCCTGGCTCGACACCTGAGATTAGTCCTGATTACTCAATATTTCAGTTATAAAGGCAGTCACTCACTTTAGTAACTAAAAGTGTCAGAGTCCTTGATTGGTTTAATTTTCAATGGGGGCTTTAAAATATGGAAATGAATGTGGTGCAGTGGCTAAGACTATGGGTTGTGAAAGCAGACATCCTGGGTCCAGATACTAGCTCTGTCAGCTCTTAGTTGTGTGATTCAGGCAAGTTACTTTCTACATCTCAGTGTCCCATTTTTTAATTGGAGTTCATGAAAACACTAATCTCACAGAGTTATTGTGAGGAACACATGGGTTAATACAGGGAAACGAAATACTATATGATGTGTTACAATAGCTGTATGTTACTTTTTCTTTTTCTTAAACAGACTATGCATATTACAATAGATCGAATTCCCACTCCATTCGTCTGCTTTTGTATTTTTTATCTACTGAGTTTCATCCATTTCATTCAAAGAACAGCCCCTTGGTGGCCTACTTCAAGTATATACTTTCATAAGAGAATGGTGTTTTAGAATTGAGTATCCCATCTGTTTTGGCACGGAAGTGTGTTTAAAGGGATAATTTTGGGGCACAGTGCAATAGATCATGCTACAGTGATGTGAGGAAGAAGCCAGGACAGAGTAAACCCTTAATACTAGTTGCCACAGAAGAGTCAGCCAGTTATAGAAGCTGATCAGCAAGTAGTAAAAGCCTTAAACACCCTCCTCTGAATTCCCAGACTTATTTCCTAGCATCTTTCTGTTTACTTTTAAACTATCTACTACTGGATTCATAACATTAAATATTTTTTTACTCCATTTATCTACCCTCAAATGTTCAATGTATATTTGTTCAATTCTCTCCCTTTTCTCTCTCTGTCTCTTTCTCTCTCTCTTTCTCTCTTTTTAACCCAATGCATAGTTATTTACTTAGCCTTCCAAGTTGGGTCTGCTCTCATTCCCATCTCCTTGCCCACAGTTTACTTCCACTGTGTGATTACAACCTTGTTTCTTTTGTGCCTTGTTCCTTATGCCTTTTCTAAAAAGGTATTGCTCTTGGGATCTTTTGTTAAATGCTCTCACTATTCTGCTGTTTCAGAATATTCTATTTTAGTCTCCCTCATAAGAAAGTGAGGGGAAACAAAATGACCTAATTCACCATCCACTCACTCAAGGATCTGGAACTCAGCCCAGTAACATTCTCCATAGTGCAGTCTCATGCCCAGAGACGGGATCGTTTGTAGACCACACACCAGTGCTCAACTTGCTCTACTTGAGCTGTCTAGTTGCTAAGAGAGCCCAGAATGCTTGCTTCCTAAATTTGGGCTTCAGAGGACCGTGTAGGAACCTGCAGTACAGCACTTGTGCAATCAAGTTGCCTAACAGAAGCTAAGCATTCATCCCTCAAGAAGCAAGTTTAGGGAGAACCCAGAGATAAATGAGTAACTTCTGCATCTGTAGGGAATCTAATGTGCAAAGTACATCTTTGTTCCATGCTGCTTTATCTGCTTGGTCATTCCTCAGAATACAGTTTAATAGAAACAGCAAAGTATGTTAATCAATGTTTTCCAGAAATTGAACTTAAAGGTCACTTCAGCTTCTGAGCAAGTTGAAGTGAAACTGAATAATGTTCTGATTATTTTATGAGAAAATACTTGTTGAATGCTTTTCTTGGTATGGTTTCAAATTAGTCTATTCCCATAATTGTCTCTTTTGCTTTTGGGTCCTCATCAATATATCAGATTTTAATAATTTACAAAACCCTATCTACAGAAAGTGAAATGTTTTAGAGATAGGATACATAAGAATTACTCTAAATATTTTCTAAGTAATCACAAATAATTATTTAGTGATTTCTAAATAATCACTCTACAATGTTCATCTTGGGAATACTAAATATTGCCCTATGTTTGCAGATAAATTGCTGTAAAATGTTTCTTGTACTCTTTCTAGTGCAGAGGGAAAAGAAGCCTTTACTCATACATATGTGTGTCTATATATGTATGTGTGTCTCTCTCTATATATATTATAAACATATACACACACACACCCACACACACACCCACACACACACACACCGCTTTAGCATGTGTCATTTTCTATTCCCTGAGTCCTTAAGGATAATTTTGTTAGAGCAAATCAAGAGAAGGAAACAATTTTAAAGACTAAAACTGAGTCAAGTCAATTCAAAGTTCATTTTTGTTTTATTTTTCCTTTTTTATATATAAATTCACTCATTCCTTATGTAATTTTATTTATTACTTTAGTGAATACGTATTATAAATTTGCTGGCTTGATTCTCTGTGAGATTTTTAGTAAATGAGATAAACAATATTAATTTTTAATTATTTTGTGGGCGACATAAAGGGTGTCCTTTTTCAAATTATTACCTTTAGGTGTTATTCAAGGGACCTGCCTATCAAACAGTGGGTTTTCTGAGTAGTTCCAGGTCACTAAAAAAAGGTTGATCTTGATCAAGGTAATAATGGTTGTTCCAGGTCCATAGCCCAGGAATGAACACAGGTAGGGAAGATGGAACAATCCTAGGACTATCATGTGGGTTCTTATTTTGAGGCCCCCATAATTCCCGGGTTTCCCCTGACTGTTCCCTTTCTAGCTCCATCATGGTTGCTTTCTCCTCCTCTCACTACATTCTCTTTGTCCACGGTTCTGTTCTTTTTCTCTCTATAGACTTTGTTCACTGACCCATTCACTTTGCTCATTCCAGTTATTATTTAAATGGGAAATACACATAAATTATTAACTCTAACCTCTCAGCCTTGTTGCTTTTCCAGTAGGCCCTAGTCTACAGCAATGGATCATCCACTTAAGGGTTTACATTCTTATGATTTCACCACGTGCCGTCTCCTACTGGTTGTGACTTTGTATGCACAAGTGTGTACACTGTCTTTTGGTGGAAAGGAAGCTCACTTTTGAGTCACAATTACAATTATTCTATTAATTATTTGAGAAAATTGGAGTTATTTAACTGTATCCGCCTTAGTATACTTATATATTGAGATAGAGATAAATGACAATTTTGCATCCAAAATGCAATGAGTTTTAAAGAGAGTAAATAAAGAAATAATCTATTCTGGTGCCTGACACCATTGTTATTTTAAAAGTCAACACTAGTGTTTTGATGTCTTCTCACCAGTATATATTAAGCATGTTCTATTGGTTGCAGAAACTTGAAATGCTAGGACTTGGAATTTGAATTTTATTCCATAGTTGATAGGGAACCACTGAATATTTTTGAACAATGAAATAACCCAAGAGTTAGTGTCTTGGGAAGATGAACCTATGAATAATTTTCAAGGAGATTAATTAACCCTTTCACATATGTGATATGGGCTAGACTATTGCAATGGTAATGAGAATATAAAAGAAGAATACCAGAGAAATTATAAGAAATAATTTATTAGACTATTATGTCAGACTTTAACTGCCTGATATTCACATGGTTTATGATTTTGCCCTATTCTATATTCAAATCACTCTGCCTGACATAGAACTTTTTATATATCTCTCAGGACCTAGATTCCCTGAGATTCAAACCTTCCCATTGATATTACACTTTTTGAAATGATTGTTGTGTTGTTCCCAAAATTCACAATGGAACAAGAAATATCTTTCCACATACATAGAAGTCTGAGGTCAGACTGGATTCTAGCAGTATACAGAATACCTCATGATCTTTTTTCCTGCTAAAGGAAGATGACTGTTTCAGACTACTAAAATAATGAGATACAGAAAATAGGTTTGTACAGGCATCAACTTTCAAACATACATCATAGAACTAGAAATAGAAACCAATGGTAATCTTACTAATATTTATTTTGTGAAATAAAGTAGTGAACACTTATTTTGTTGTCATGTATGTTTAATATTTAGGGCCCAGCATTGCTCATGCTGTTCATCCTGAATGGAATTCCTTCTTTCTCGCTCTCTCTTTTTTTAAATCTTTTGCTATTCTATTTTTTAAAAACCAAATCACATCTCACCTTCTCCGTCCATCAGAATACCAAACCAGATCACATATATAATGAACTTTTTTTTATTTTCACATTCACAAACACACATTCACACATCAAAATAAATAATTTAAATTTAAAACTATTTTATATGGACACTTTGTCTCACTAGCAATCTATCAGTTCTTAAGAACTGATAGTTCCACATTTCATATTCATTCTGTGTGATACCTAGCATAGTGATCAATAGTTGTTTTGTATCTGCAAATGAAAAAAAATGTAAGTAGAGTTTTGAAAAAAGAATCTAAAATCCTGAGTTGTATGTAGCATCAGTAAAATATTTTTGTTTAAATAAATAATGAAACAGATACCACAGCTCTTCTTTTCCAATTTTTGTTAGAATCAGAAAGACTTAAAATGATTATCCTTTTCTCAATCAAAGATATCCAAAATCAGTCTCTTAGGTGGCAGTATTGATTTAATTTAAAACATGTGTTAGATGGAAGGATGGACATTTTAACCTCCGTATCATTAAGTTGATAAGCTATGAAAATGTTCTAAGTACTCTATTTTGCCTCCTTACTATCAGCCCATTTCGCTTTAGGTTATCTTCATTCAAAAGAATGTCAGGAGCAAAATATACTATGTGAAAGTAGCAGACAACCTGTTAGTGTTCAGAAAGCAGTGTCTCTAAAGTTCAATTTTATTCTAAATATATTAAATTAGTGCATATCCACTAAATAATTTTTGAATTTCTCCAACAAGCTGCATTTTGTTAAAACTTGTTTAACAGAACTAGTGTCTGAAGGTTTTTCTTTGTTTGTTTCTTTGTTTTGTTTAATTTCAGTCTTGGACATAATTGGAGTATAAGCCTTGACAAACTGTCAGTTTCAGAATATTTATTTGAAAATCCTTCTAATTAATAAGCTAATGATAAAATAATTTTTTTCTAATGTATCTCATGGACTCATAGTATAAGAAAATAATGATAAAATATTTTTTATCTAATTTATCTCATGAACTCATAGTATTTCAGAATAAAAAAGCAAACTGAGATATTGTCTAAATTTCTTAATTTTACATGGACAACTGAGCACAAGCTGGTTTGAATTCCTTCCCCTGCCCCAACACTTTACTGCCCTCCTTGTTTCTCTTTTTCTTTCTTTCTTTTCTTTCTTTCTTTCTTTCTTTCTTTCTTTCTTTCTTTCTTTCTTTCTTTCTTTCTTTCATCTTTCTTTCTTTCTTTCTTTGTCACCTTTCCTTCCTTAAACATGAATATATTTATATATATACAGACACACAGATATATATATAATTTAAGATAAGTGCTAAGTGTTCAGAGGGGAATAGCTCTGGGCTTGAGTAATTCATAATCCAATTCTTAGGTTGGTGCAAAAGTAATTAAAATTAAAAAA
This sequence comes from Homo sapiens, assembly GCF_000001405.40. Lineage (NCBI taxonomy): Eukaryota > Metazoa > Chordata > Mammalia > Primates > Hominidae > Homo > Homo sapiens. The sequence continues at coordinate 85,168,633 of NC_000007.14, read as the reverse complement.
AAAAAAAAAAAAAAAATTGCAGAAACCGCAATTACTTTTGCACCAATCTGAGACACTAGTTGTAGTGTGCTCATAGGCACATGACTGAGTTATCACAGAGCTGAGATTACAACTGAAGCCTCTTCATTCCCACAAGAGTAAACTTTTTGCTTCTTAGTGAGGTTGACAACTAATTTAGAAAGAAGCCTGTACTGCCAGAATTGTTGACATTTACATCAAAGCATGGTGACAACTAATAGTCACAGAAGTGTTTTAAAATAAGAATTAAAAATAGGTCATACATTGATAAAAAGTTAAGTAGTATTTGCTGTTAGATATTGCTTGGAAAACTTGTTCTGACTAGCCTGTAGAAAGGATGAAACTTTCTTGGGACTACTGTCTGACTGCATCCTCTCTCCACCAAGCCACCCAAATATTAAGCAATGGGTAGGCTCTGTAGGTAGAGATGGGCCATTTTCCACATATTTATAGTTGTCTTTAAAAAATAATAAGAGCCACAGGTTGATTAATCTATTTCAGCCATTAGACTATGATAAGAAAAGTATAAAATTCTGTCAAACTTTTCAATTATTATATACACCCCAGTCCAAAATATATGTCGTTATCAAAAATATGCATGGGAACAGTATAGAGTACCCCTACTAGTGTTTTGTTTATAGCTGTTTGTCTGTGAGAGGTAGACTTATCTAAAGTATTACCATTTTCTATTTGTTATCTGGATGTGAACAAAGAGAAAGATAATGTTTTTACACAATATCATGCTTTCTTGATGTGGTCACCTTTAATAATAGAAACCAAAAGAAACATTTCCCAATGTATTCATCATAATTCTATCAGGAAGCAGATGTGCAGTCTTATTTTTCTTTTAAATCATGTATTTATTTATTGCATTATATCTTTCAGTTGTAGATATTTTCCTGTAGAGGGAAATTCCATCCTTCCTGGAATAATAATTCCCCAAGTTTTAGATGTATTTTTTTTAAACTGGGGATTTGACAATGAAAATACACCCTTCCTTCTTAAATATATTGGCCTTTTGATTATACCTCTATACAGGTAGACCTTGAATGCTTATAATGCTTCTTGAAGATATTTCGTGTATTTATAACAATAAATTAAGATAATTTTATGGGCAAAGTCACATTCTTACTAATCTACCACAAATAGACGTCCAACATTAGTATCAGCTTCACAGTAAATTATATCATTCAAAGGTGAAAATTTATAACACAACCACCGATCCTTCTAGCTTTCTCATTACTTTCCTTCATTCCCGTTGAAATGCTTTATGTTTCTATGAGAACATCACCACCCTTGACTGTTCTGCATATTTCCAGATACTCTTGGCCTCACTTCTCTATTTAACCAGCCAAGACCTCCAGATGAGGCATTGCAAGCAAAATGTTTCAGCCTATTATAACATTTCAACTCTTGACATTTCAATGTAGTTGATATAGCTCCCTGCATGATGAAACATAATATTGTTTTGGCTTTTTATGATCTTCAGGCGGGTCTCAGTTTACCTGTGTCTAATGAAATATCTGCTGTTTCTCCAGCCATCCTAATGGATATTTCTCTAAGGCCAATACGTTTGTATTGATTTCAGGACATTTTTTCAATTAAAGTTTGTTTAATTTGGTAATTTACATTCACATTCACTGTACACCATCACTTAGATAATAGTTCTGATCAGTTGCTTTGGCTATAATCCATTATCACCTTTGTACAAAACCTCTAACTCATGTTTTCTTATCCACTTTAAAGTTCTTCCAGCCCTTCAGATATAAAATGTCAAAAATAAAACGGGGCTTTCATTTTTTATTTTTTCCCTTACCGACTCACTGAACCTCTTTTCTTTATTTTTATCAGCACCATACGGCTAGTAATTTGAACTTTACACATCAGTCATCTCTAATGCAATACAGAGAAGGTCCTGTGAACCTAGTCCCACCTGGGTTCCCATCCCAATTCTGTCACTAACAAGCTTGTAGCCTTGGGCAATTTGCTTTATCTCTCTATGCCTTAGATTCAACATCTGCAAATGAAGTGTTAAGAGTATTTAATAAATTACTGTGTGGATTGAGTTAATATGTGTTCACAACTTAGAATAATGTCTGGTCCTTAGTAATACCTCATAAATGTTAGCTACTATTATTATCACTTTCCTTTGCTCTTTTTTTCCAATCACTTCAGCAAGTTTTCTTAAAACTTGCCTCCTTTCCATCGTCACTGCCAACACCATGATTCAAACTTTCATGTTCTTTTGCCTGAACTATTTTATTAGTTTTCTAACTCATATTTTTCTTCTCATTTTATCATAAGCCCTAACCAAGTTAGGATATTGTATTTAAGAACCTTTATCATTGTTAGTAAAACTTTATTTGGTAAGATCAACATCGTGTAGAAAAATACATAATTTAAGCAAAACTAACAACATTAAGTATGACGTGTATATATATAGCATGTTTGAATGTGTATATGTGTGTAGGTATATGAAATATAGTAGTAAATAAAGTAAGAACAGTATCATTCCAAGCAAATTAGATTCTCATGATTATTAAACCTGTTTATGCCATTAACCGTATTCTTGGCACCTTCCTCTACTGATTAAAAAATTGATGAAGCGCATTATATACTCAGGTACATATTTATATAATTTTGTTAGGAATAATATATGTCCTTTTAAGGTATATGAACCCATCTGCATTTTCCCTTGCCTCTTGTTTTTAGCATCTTCTCTGAATATTTCTGTAAAAGGCTGACCTTTGGAAATACTTTGTAGTGTTTGAGATGCGTGATTGCTTTCTCTACCACATATTTTCTCCATAAAAGGAGACTTATGCCACATACTTGCTCCTATTTTATATGAGAATAATTGTCAGGAATAACTGATGTCCTTCTTAGTTTAAAGGGAATTACCTGAATTGGTTTTAAAGAAATATATTGTGAACTTTTTAAAAGATGGTATGCATATGTACTCAGATATTGAAAAATCACAGGTGATGAAACTATTGTGGGTGAAGCATGATTTTCTCCTGATAAGGTAAACTCAAATAAAGTGACTGGCCTGTTTGGACACCTCTGGTGTCATTCACTCCCTACTACAAGTGATGGCAGAATCCAGTGTAAACACAATACCCTTGTCATGATTGGGTTGTAATCTAACTTTGCAGTTTAGCCCGTGTTTATCTTAGTCACATGAAACTATTACATCACGTCTTTCTCACGTCGTATCTTATGTGTCTATTGAAACATTATCTATTCACAAACTCTCGTTTAAATGATTTCTCTACTGTGAAATTTTCTTTGATTCTACTACATCTCCTATCCATCTCACTCTAGAAGTTTTTTTTTTTACCATTTAATTCATCTTCTATATTTCTTTTTTTAATTTACATAAAAAAGTTTTATTATTATTATTATACTTTAAGTTTTAGGGTACATGTGCACAACGTGCAGGTTCGTTACACATGTATACATGTGCCATGTTGGTGTGCTGCACCCATTAACTCGTCTATCGCAAGGACAAAAAACCAAACACTGCATGTTCTCACTCATAGGTGGGAATTGAACAATGAGAACACAGGGACACAGGAAGGGGAACATCACACACTGGGGACTGTTGTGGGGTGGGGGGAAGGGGGAGGGATAGCATTAGGAGATATACCTAACGCTAAATGACATCTTCTATATTTCTTGTATAGCACTTTCATTCTGCCTAAATTACAGCTCTTTGTATACATGTTTTATATCTCTAAGTGCCTGTTGTTTCCTTGAATAAAAGGCCACATTTTATTTACCAGCTACAAATACAATGGAGTTGAGTTTTATACAGGTTCTAAGTTCTAAAATCAATATTTAAAGTTGAAATTTCCTACTGTCAACATTATCCAGACAAATCCTAATGTAATATATAAAATGTATTATACAAAATTTGTGTGCCACAAAAGTGGCTGACATTCAGTCTTTCAATAAACTACAACACTGAAAGTTTTCCTCCTGTGTCAAGTCACTTTCTTCACTTCAGCACCAGATGAAGTAATTGGCTTGTCTTTAGAGGCTGTGTTGTATGAAGAAATCCATGCATCTTTAAGCATGAAAATCAAATGCAGCTTGCGGAGATGCTCAGACTATGAGAACTTATAATGACTAAGGGAATCTAATTTTCCTTTCCAAAAAAATATTTTTTAAAGATTTGCAGCTCAAAAATGCTCTCTATCTGCTTAGATTTTAAGAAATTTTGTTATCAAGTTCATAGGAGTTTAGATAAATAAGTATATGTATAGATACATACAGATAGAGATAGGTTTGGGTTAAAACAAACAATAACAACTAGTTTAAATAACTAGTTTAAATCCGTGATAGGTGGTATCATTATACAGTGATATTATGTAGTGACTTAGTTCAAGTTATTATTCAGTGAAGGCTCCCATGTAGCAACGTTATGAAAAGGACATACTTTTGCTCAAATAGACCTTTATTCAAATCCATGCTCTGCTACTGACTGACTGTAAGACCTGAAGCACTCACTACACTTCTCTGAGCATCAACTTTATTGCAAACTAATTAGCATTTTGAAAAGTTTTCCAAAAGAGTCTGAAATAAGATGTGTAGAGTTTATTTCATAGTAAACATTCAAAAAAGATTGGTGATTATTACTTATTATTGATGTTTCCATTTACAAAATAAAAATTTATAACATGAAAATTGAAGCTTTTCTTGTTAGAATGGGAGTCTGTAACTTTACTCAGTTCAAGTTATATTTGAAAGATTGGCAAAAATTACCTTTCCTTACTGTTTCTGAAAAGCATTCAGATACGAAATGCTTGGTTATTTACTTGAATCAGGATTGAAACATTTGGCTGGTTGAAAGCAATTCTGGGAATGAGAATAAGTGAGCCACTTTAAATGATTAAAGCTGGATTTCTGAATTGGGTCTTTCAGAAATAAGGGGCTTCTTTGCCCATTTTCCATGAATTTACATTTTTCATAGTAAATTGTCTTGGATCAGATAAATTTTAAGTAACATCTTTCACTTTATTCATTACTTTAAAAAATTCATCTTTAAATTACCTAGTTATTTCCTACTGTCCTGTTATCCTTTCTGTTGGAGAGTTGATTCTTTTTTTCTTATTTTTCCATCATGCTGATCATTTTTATAGCCTTTTTTTTTCCAGATTCCATTTCTGATCTTTGAAGTATTATAAATCTTTCAAGACTTTGGAAATTAAGATTATGTTTTACTGTTCACTCTGGTGACAAGCACTGTATTCTTTGCTTTATAACAATTTTCTTACTGAATTCTCTTGATTTATTGTGTGGTGGGTGATATTACTTTCTCCTTTTTCAAGTGAAGAAACTGAGGTATAGAGTGATTAAATAACTTGCCCCAATTTCCTCCTACTAAGCTGTCAAGATAGAATGTGGAACCAGGCAGTTTGATTTTAGAGTTTAAGTTCTTCACTGCTGCACAAGCATTGGCTCACTTTCATGGAGAGGCCACTTTCCAAGTGCCTTTTTTTTTCTTTTCTTTGTATTCTGTTTTACTTTCTAATCTTACTGTATATTTTGGATATGTATATACTTCTTTTATATTCTTACTTCACATCCTTGTCTTTCCTTCTCGTTAGCTCACCTCCTTGGATGTCCTCGGCCTCTAAACCTCTGCCTTATGACATTCAGTCGCTGACTCAGTTCCTTTACTTCTGTCTTCCAAGGAGTCTGAACATTTTAAATGTTATTTTCCTTTCAGTCAGTTCCAAGATGATGTTTGCCTCTGCTAAGTGTATTTCCTCTCAGCTACTGGAACCTTCTGTTCTGCAGATTGCTCCTTGGTGCATTTAGGAAGACGTTGTCAAGTTTCTTTTTGTGCATATGCTTGTTTTCAGTTTCTGGAAACTTGACAGAGCTTCCAGTCTTTTTCCACGTTCTTCCTCAGGTTTTCCTCACCCTCCCAGTACACGTTTCCCATATTGTTCTTCCTTCCACTTACTGCTCCACTCCACTGCATCTTTAGAGTGTCCTTTTGTTCTAAATGCTGAAACCTACCTGAAATTTCTGGCTTTTTTTCACTGTGGCATGAGTTGCATTTTAATCAACTATGACATGTCATTCTTAGAAAACAAAGGTCATTCAATGAAAACAAATGGCTATGCATTCTGGAAACTTAAGCTAATAACTTTTGTTATTATTAATTTTTACCTGATCTACGTCACCTGCTTCTTTCATTTTTCTTTCACAATAATTTCACTTTTAATGATTCCCAACAAACTTATGATAAGGGTGTGGTTTTATGCAATAATCACTGTTTTGTTAACTCTGTGTTTACTGATGCTGTGACTTAGTACATGAATTGCGCAGGACATACAGTGCAGTGGAAGGATCACTTGTTGGGCAGTTGGAGGATGCAGGTCTTTGCTGTTGTTAGCCCTTCTTTCTACTTGACTTTGGCTGCTCAGAAACCCCTCTGATTCTTGCTTTGTTACTTGTGAAACAGAGGATGAGGAATATCTAACTCCAAAGCTGAAATTAAGATGAGATTAAAAAAAAAAACACGTTTTACAAATTGGGAACAGCTACGAAACAGGTACAGATTATTATTATATTGACTCTCAAAGCACAGAGATGAGTGTTTATCAGACAAGCAAACACATAAAATGAAAACAAATGGACAGTCTGACTAGAGTGAGAATTTCATTTCTTCAGAGTTTTCTATTGTGCATCAGATGTTTCTTAAAATGCAGAAATCTTCACTTTGAGTTTTAATAAAAATATATTTGTATGCGGCACTGTGAATATTTAAGTTGTAAGATAGTGGATGACATACCTGTTTTGCTAACTCAAATATCATAATCCAAAAATAATACCTGTGTGGGTAGTTCAGTTTCTTCCTATAATGGGTATTACAGAGTGATTCATAGAAAAAAACACAGATTGGCCTATATGTACATGCAACATATGGTTAAGTAAGTCCCACCTAAGAATTGTTTGCTTCCTTCTGTGAAGAGCCATCTCACTCCTACGTGAATGGTAGTTGTTTTCCTCTCTTCCTGCTTCTTGCAACTCTCCCCGCCTACTCCACCCGCAACCATCCTCAGTTCCAGCCCTGTCTTCTTTGCCCCTCCAGAGGCCATGGGTGCCTGGGTTTTTCATACCCTGCAAAGTTACAGCAGGGGAGGGAGGAACAATTTTATGATTAAAACATTATAAAATATTTATGATTTATTTCTGTATCTATCTATATGTTATTTATATATTTTATATTTACCCCTATTGCTAATTATGTGAGTGATTCATTCACATTTTAATATTTTAAAATATTAATTTGCAAACCAACACAAAGAATCACTGTAAGCCATGTTAAAAGGACCAATTATTTGATTTTATTTAGTTCCCTTCTGGAAACTGCTGAATTAATTTACTATTTCAGGTGAAGACTAGTGTAACAACAAAACATGGAAGATAAAGCTAAAATTTTTAGTCCCTTTGGAAATTGAGTTTGAATTATTATTAATTTTCTGATATTTCCTTATTTTATGTTGATTGTGTTGTCTTCCAGAATCATGGTCACCCTCTGTGTGGTCAAGTTGCCTGTATTTTATTTACATTGTCCGACTGATGTTATCCATTCCCCTCCTCCATACGTGCAAGTAGTCATTGCTTGCATTTTTATACTTCACTTCCTAATTTTAGGGTTGACTTCTTTTCTGCTTCATTGCAATTATTCTTCATAAACCTCTTCTCCTAGTAAAAAATTAAATAATACTTTCTTCCCCCAGAGTTTTGATATCTTTTACTGGTTTGCAGAGAGGTACTTTGTCTATCAACTTGTTGCTCATCCAAGTTGAGCTTCTTTAGTGCTTTAATCTTCCATCAGAAATCATCTTTCTTTGTATCTTAATCATTTTTCCATCATGTCTCTGAACTCCTTCCAGCTTCCCTGCACCTTTTGGATAATGAGAAGCCTGGGTCTGAACACCAGGTGCAGTCCCACCAGTCCTGTTTAGGAGGGTCCCATTACCTCCTGTGCTGCTATGATGTTTTCTTGTTCCCCAAGGTTCTCATTAGAATGATGATGCGTGTTTCTACAGGCAGAGAGTCAGGCAAACCGCATCGCCCCCATTTGCCTAAGCTGCCTTCTGGCTAATTCTTTTTCCATCGTGGAAATCTCAGTTTCAATTTCTCTCTCTCTTTCACTATGACTCTGTCTCTCTTGTTCTTTATAGTATTTATTTTACTCATTCTGCCTGACTCAGATCTTATTCATGTGTTTATTGACTTCCTTATTTTTTTTTCTATATTTCATCAGACCCATTATCTTCCCAGTCCTATACTTTCATGCTGGGTTGATAGTAATCTCTGTCATTCTGACTGCATGTTCATCCATCTCTTAACCATATCAATTTCGTTCACACTTCAATGGTAAAAAAAACACGTATTTACTTGTATTTATATAATGCCTTACCTTTTTGTTTTCTATCAGATCAATAAGTAGCTTGACATTATCCTGTTAGGCTTGAAAACTCAATTTTATCAAAGTGGAATTGAGATATATATTATTTTCAGTATTACTGTTTGCAGTTCAATAAAATAACAGTTCAGTTTTTAATCCACAAATGATATAGTTCATGGAGAGATGTGGTAGATATGATACCTCTGGAGTAGTTACCGTAGAACTTATGGCTTGTGTTTCTTGAACACTAGTTGGTCATTCTCTCTTCCTTCACTTCCTTCTTTCCTATCTTTCTTGCTTCCTTCCTCCAGTCATATAATGGTTACTGAAATCCTACTATCTGCAGGACAGTGTGAAGGAAAGAGTATGCACTGGTATTAGATAGCCTGCTGTCAAAGTGAATAGCTCTGCAGCTACATCAAATCATTTACATTCTGTCACTGTGTTCTCACCCATAACTGGAGTGGAGTTCAGCACTACGATGATTAAGTGAGAATAAGACATCATTTTATTCACAAATTAGAAGCCTAGTTAGAGATAAAGCCATAATAAATTTTTGGATAATATTGAGAAGAACCTTGACCACTTGAAAAGTTTGTCTTTCTTGTTTATAAAACAACACATGGCTCCCCATTGCCTACCAAATCAATTGCATCAAAACACCTTCAGAGTACACATGTGGTTTGTATATGACCAGAGGATGGAAGTGACAGAAGATGGAAAATAATGTAATGGTTCATGAATTAGGTAATAAAGACAGATGAGGACTAGAGTTAGAGGAAAATTTGAGTCTGGCACTTTAGATTTGGGAACCAATTTTAAAGTCAATGACTGTTAAAAAGGGGTAGATTCTGTCCTACCACCTGGAGTGTTTTCATGATTAATCCAGATTCCTTATCACCCCTCTTTGACTTGCTGCAATGAAAAATTTGAAGATGATGGCCTGGAAACTGCAATTTAACACCCTCCTCTACCCTTACTGACAGTTGATTTATGTGTTTATACTAGGTTACAAATTTTTAGCTGAAAGTGCAGCCAGTCATTGTCAAAATAAGAGAATATCAGGGTCTAAGATAAGTATGAGGAAAAAACAGACGAAAGGGGTTGAGGAACTAAAGGTGTTGGGTCCCACCAGTAGCTGAGGTGATGGTAAAGAGAGTGATGTGGGTAACAAAGCAGTTAGACACAATAGACACAGTCAGTGAGAAGGGGAGAAATAAGTCACAATGAGGAATTTGTGGAAAGGGCCAGAAATTCTGAGTTTCTGATCTTAGTGAAACAGAAAAAATTCTGATGATATATCAGGTGAAATTCACCTCTGATATTTCATGTATGTTCTTTTCTATTTTCCCTAAGTGTTGGCTGGTCTGAGAAATAAAGGGACAGAGTACAAAAGACAGAAATTTTAAAGCTGAGTGTCCAGAGGAGACATCACATGTGGGCAGGTTCCGTGATGCCCCGCAAGCCGCAAAACCAGCAAGTTTTTATTAGTGATTTTCAAAAGGGGAGGGATTGTACGAATAGGGTGTGAGTCACAGAGATCACATGTGTCACAAGGTAATAAGATATCACAAGGTAAACAGAGTCAGGGTGAGATCACAGGACCACAGGACCAGGGCAAAATTAAAATTGCTAATGAAGTTTCAGGCAGGCATTGTCATTGATAACATCTTATCAGGAACTAGAGTTTGAGAGCAGACAATCGGTCTGACCAAAATTTATTAGGCAGGAATTTCCTCGTCCTAATAAGCCTAGGAGCGCTACAGGAGACCGGGGCTTATTTCATTCCACAGCTATGATCATAAAAGACAGCCGTCCCCAAAGCGGCCATTTTCGAGGCCTCCCCTCAGGGATGCATTCTCTTTCTCAGGGATGTTCCTTGCTGAGAAAAAGAATTCAGCAATATTTCTCCTATTTGCTTTTGAAAGAAGAGAAATATGGCTCTGTTCTGCCCAGATCACTGGCAGTCAGAGTTTAAGGTTATCTCTCTTGTTCCCTGAACACTGCTGTTATCCTGTTCTTTTTTCAAGGTGCCCAGATTTCATATTGTTCAAACACACATGCTTTACAAACAATTTGTGCAGTTAACGCAATAATCACACGGTCCTGAGGTGACATACATCCTCCTCAGCTTGCGAAGATGATAGGATTAAGAGATTAAAGTAAAGATAGGCATAGGAAATCACAAGGGTATTGATTGGGGAAGTGATAAATGTCCATGAAATCTTCACAATTTATGTTCAGAGACTGCAGTAAAGACAAGCGTAAGAAATTATAAAAGTATTAATTTGGGGAACTAATAAATGTCCATGAAATCTTCACAATTTATGTTCTTCTGCCATGACTTCAGCCGGTCCCTACGTTCAGGGTCCCTGAATTCCTGCAATAATGATACTAATCCATGTGCTTTGGGCGACTGAAGTGAAAACGTGAAGACTGTTGGGTGTTGTTGAGGAGAAGAGCTACACCTCTGCCCAGCAGAGCCTTTGTTGGCTTGTTTTGTTTTGCTTTGTTCTCCCCAAACAATGTTGATGTATGTACGGCATAAACTGATGCAATTTATTTACTTATAAGCCTTGCAAAATACAAGTAACAAGAGAAATATGAGATCATATTGGGACATGGTGCGAAAAGCTCAGACATCAGAGTATTATAGGGAGCACATTTTAGACAGTATACATAAAGTGTAGGCAAGGGTCAAACTGTGAAGAAAAGACACATAAAATGTACAATGGGGAGCTGGTTAAGCATACCAAATTGTCAACTTATAAAAGCATCTTTCCAGGAATTTAGTCTCACTTGGAGAAACAAAAATCTTTTGGTTAATATTTTGAATATAACCAGAATCTTTCATACATGTTATTTTTATTATACTATGCTAATATTTTAACATTGATATCAAAACTGTTACCATATTTGATATTGTTAACATAATTTATTTATTAACTGCCACATTTTTAGTATTGACTTTCTTTATCCATCTAAGCAAATAAGGATGAAATTTTATTATTACAAAAACAAGAAATAGAATAAAACCCTAGGTCTATTTTTTTTTAAACAGACTAAAAAGGTAGGCTGTGCCAGAAACAGTGAGACATTCTGTATTTCAAAGTGCCATTTATTCCTGAAGCACGTCAGACTCTGCACAGTGACCTTCTGTGTTTATCTTTATAAAGAGTAGAGTAAACCATTATGCAAACACACTTCCATTTGGGCACTGTAGTGCCAAGTGTTAATGGCATCATTATTCCAAACAAAGCATGTTTAGAACCATTACTTTTTGTTTTATTTTTCTTGTGGGGATTTCCATAAACTGTCTGTGGGCTATAAGATATTTGCATGATATAACTATTTTCTTCTTACTGTCTGTTATGCTAATGGTATTTTGTGGTGTTTTTGGTAAACAGGTTGATTTACTTCATAAAGAGCCTGTTTAAAAGATTACTTTTTAATCTGTGTCAGCTCTCTTTCTTTGTGTGTCCTCTGTATTTCATGAATATAAATGGCCTATTGATGATGACTTGGGTGGAAAATGTAAGCAACTCATAAGGAGATGAAATTTGCTCATAAATTAGGATAAATTCTTAAAATTTTTCAATACCAAATTAAAATGTAGTTAAGACCATAGGTCTTAAAGCGATATTATTTTTCTGAAATGTGATTTTTATAACTTTATACTCTGGAAAATTCGATTATTCCTTTAAGTTGGAAGAATCAAGCTCTAGAATTCTAGGCAATACATTGAAGTTGGAGATTGCTTTATTATCTTAAGAATCACTTGTGGCCAGGTGTGGTGGCTCACGCCTGTAATCCCAGCACTTTGGAAGGCCGAAGGGGTGGATCATGAGTTCAGGAGATAGAGACCATCCTAGCCAATGTGGTGAAACCCCATCTCTACTGAAAATACAAAAGTTAGCCAGGTGTGGTGGCACGCGCTTGTAGTCCCAGCTACTCAGGAGGCTGAGGCCAGAGAATCACTTGAACCCAGGAGGTGGAGGTTGCAGTGAGCCGAGATCTTGCCACTGCACCCTAGCCTGGGTGACAGAGCGAGACTCCATCTCAAAAAAAAAAAAAAAAAAATCACTTATATTGCAGCATAATGCAAGATAAATTAAAACATTATTTTGTCTACATTTCTAAGCTAATATGTATATATGTAACAAATAGGTGATAAAACTAACAATTATCAGAAGAAAAATGAAAATAATTAATAATTGGATAGGCCAGTGCACATTTGGAATTAAAAGCACATCAGCTAAAATAAAGGGAATTGTGTAAGTGTGACATAAGTCATATTGTTCATTCATATTTTCAAGAGCTCGGCATTTAATTGTTGTTGACTGAGGTGCCACAACTTCATGAGATATCAAGGGCTCATTACTTGTTGCTCTATGATAAATGCAAATATTATCTCTGGCAATATTAAATGTTTTATAATTTGCATTCTGTTGAAGAGCTAACCCTCATTAGAAATAAATATATAACTAAAATAAAACATGAATATATGTATGTATGACATCTCTAAAAGGTAAATAAGCTGTTTTATAGTACCTAAATGTATAAGTGAATCATTTGCAAAATGTCTTTAATTAACACCACCTATTGGGCCTGTTCCCTGATTTGTCTACTATTTAAGATTTGTGTACTTTTGCATGTTACACCCCTGTTGGAAATACATTAAGTTTCAGTATGACTAAATGTTATAAGGGGTTTAATATGTACCTGTGGAAAACAAAATAACTAATGAACCCATCAGGGAGATTAAAACTAAGATGATAGCCTCATAAACACTAAACTCTAATGGATAAGTAACTAGCATCCAAGAGATGTAGTGCACAGTAAGACATCTATTTAGTTATATATTTTTATCTCTTAGCAATATATATATTTAACTTACAAGAGAAAATACAAAATTTTTATTCTGGTAGAGTGTTTAGGGGTAACGTATATGGATATCATTGTCCTGCTTTGAAAAACTTTTTTTAAGTCAGATGGACTGGCAGGAATGCATAGTGTGATAATAAAGCAAATGTCAAAAAAAAAAGTGTAGAATCTAGGTGTGGGTGTACAGATGCTTTCTGTATACTTCAACTTTTCTGCATGTGTGAATTTTTTATAATAAGATGTTTGAAAAAACTTTGCAATGCAAGATGATTACATTATTTTTAAAGCAATCAATTTGAAAAACTGTGGAGATGACAGTAATAACATGACACAATTCTTTATATATAGAAAGACAAGTTATGCTTTATCTTTAAATGAATACCTTTAAAAATAATGACATCTGAGCTTAGCTAAATTCTTTTCAGACTTATGCATATTTTTTGTAAAAAGGTTTTACTCTTTTCTCTTTAGATTATGTGTTCAAACCTAATTATCTTTTATGGTTGTCTATTATTTAGGGCCAACCTAGACTTATCACCTTGTGTTGTATTTTAGTCAATGCACTTACTCAGTTTTATGGTTCTCTCTGGTACGTTTACAAAGTGCACTTTATACTGCACTTCTAGTTTCCTATAAACAAGGAGACAATCTGTTCTACTGTATTTCAAATCACTGCCATCCTGACCATTACTTCATTTGCAATAAAAGTCACAAACTGTGCAAGTGCATTTCATACATGTTCATTTCCAAGGTGTTAATAAGTAAATGTCTGGTCAGCCTTGGTACAGAGAAAGAGAAAGTAACAGACATCCCCCAACCCCCGCCCCACAACATGGTAGGATTTGCATGAGGCTTGATGGGATACCAAGAGTATGATTCGCTGCCCATTTCCCTGAGGCTCCCTTCCATGGGAACATCCATGTTTGTTCCATCTTTCTAAAAAATAAAATAAGATTTCTATTGAAAGGTAAATGTTGTCAACCACTAAGAGTTATTAATAACTGAGCTTTGACAAATGTATGTCCTAGCCAGCCCTGAGAAAACTGGGCTTGGGGAGAGTTTGGAACTTGGGAATTCTCTGTAGTGTCTGAACATTCCTTAGTTTAGCAGGCACAGGAAATATGATGGCTTGGAGGTTAGGCAAGCAGAAGCAAGCAGTAAGGCACTGTAAGCAGTAAGGAGCAGATAAGGGTTTCTGTAATGGTTGATTTTATGTGTCCACTTGACTGGGCCATGGGGTGCCCAGACATTTGGGCAAATATTCTGGATTTGTCTGAGATGGCATTTTTGGATAAGATCAACATGTGAATTGGTAGACTGAGTAAAGCAGATTGCCGTCTGTCATGTTGGTGGGTCTCATCCAATCAGTTGAAGACCTAATAGAACAAAAAGCTTGACATTCCCACAAGTGGGAGGGAATTTCCTCTTGCCTGGCTGTCTTGAGCTGGGATATTTATTTTTCTGCCTTTGGACTTGAACTGAAACATCTGACTTTCCTGGTCCTGGAACCTGAAGGTGTTTGGACTGGAACTACAGTATTATCTCTCCTGTTTTTCAGGTCTTTACACTTGGACTAGAACTGTAACATCTGCTGTCCTGGTTGCCAGGCTTTTGAACATACACTGTTGGTTCTCCTGGATCTTCACCTTACCAACTGCAGATCTTGGGACTCATCAGCCTCAATAATTATGTGAGCCAATCTCTTAAATAAACCTCAATAGATAGATAGATAGATAGATAGATAGATAGATAGATAGATAGATGCATTTCTCCTACTTGTTCTGTTTCTCTGAATAATTCTAATGCACTGTCCTTGGGCTGATGTGATTGGAGAGGAAGCACTCTACATGACAGTTTGTTAAGGCAAACTTTGGATAATCTATGTCCATACTACATACAATGTTATTTCTAGACATGATCACTCCAAGATGTTGGAATTCAAATAATGATTGGGTCTCTGCTGTATCATCTTAATGACTCTTGAAACAAAAATAGCGTAAAGTAATTGTAATTCTTTGAGTCCTGTTAGTTATATACAGTTGACCCTTTAACAACATGAGTTTAAACTGGGTGGGTTCACTTATATTAGAGTTTATTTTTTCAAACAAACAGATACAGTATTCTCAGGATGCAAAACCTGCTTATACCAAAGGCAGTCTTTTTGTATAGTAGGGCTCTGCAGGGAGGACTGTGGGAAATTTTGCACACGTTGGCATATGAGAATGGCAGAGTTCCTGGAACCAATCTTTGGTGTGTATCAAGGGATGAATATACATTATAACATTGCCATTAGGTTAGGAATCATCTGCAAATAGTTATTTACCTCTCTCAGAATTAGCAGGCATAGCTTTCTTGTGATTGCTTGATTTGAACATGTCACAGTGTCCCAGTTCCTTAGGCTGCTAGACTTGACTTTGACTTGCATCAGTGACTACTTTTGCTTTAGCTCCAGAACTAAAGATGAACAATTATGGTAGTCCCTTCTACTATTTTATTTGTTGTATAGAATAACAAAATACACCATGTAAGCACCAAGTAATTTATCAGTTTCTAATCCTAATACATGTTTTTATTTGTTTTCTAAAATATACTCTTTCAATATAAATTATTTTGATGAGATTATTCATCTATGTTTGAAGACACATTGCTTGTATGTAATCTTGGCAATGCTCTATTATTTTTAGTTATTACTATGCAAAAAATCAACATCATATTCTGTTATTGTTGTGTTGTTTCATTGTTTGATAGGCATAATTAATAGCTCTCATTTTTCTTTTACTATAAGATTGTGATTAACATTTTAGGCACTTAGCCTGAGATCACTTTCATCGTAGTTAACTTGTCTTCTTCCACAAATCAGACATAGTGTTGTCCTCAGATTATAAACTATTAATTTTAGGGCAAGAACAATGATGTCTTTTGACTACCATATAATTTAATTTGGTGATCGGAGATCAAATTTAATTGTAAATATTGATACCTCTTTTATTTGCTTATGGCCCACAGTGATTCTTTTACATGCATCTTTGGCTTATTCTAACAATCAGTAAGAGGTAATTCATTCATTACTTATTTACACATTACCGTAAAATTTGTTTAACAGGTACTTGAAATAATCAAAACCAAAGATTAAAGAACCCTCACTCTGAACAAAGAAATATTGTCCTACAAGTAAAGATAGGTATAAAATAAAACATAAAAACAAGACAAGGAAGAGATAAATGGTTAATAAATCAAAGGGAGACAAAATTGTACAGTGGTTATGAAATCAAAGATTATGAAATTTAAACAATTTTTTCATATATTCAGTCAAGAAGCTATAAGATAATGAACTATTCTATAATTAGAAAATAAAGAAAGCATCTCAAGGTATATAATACAATTGTAAGAGATGTTCTTTGCAAAAAAGTTTTGTGGACTTTTTCATTATTTTTATCAAAGTAAGGTCAAAAAACTTTTTTTTACAGACAGTCTAAAATTTGGAATTTTAAAATAGGAATTTAAAATTTTCTTCTAATATAATAGTTTAAGTTCTACTTCAGGTCAATGTGATGAACTAAACAGAAAATATTACCACAAAAAGCTCTACCAGTACAAGATGCTTTGAGAATATGAAAGAAATAGTACTAAATACACTATAATATACTGAGAATTGCATACCTTGATCACACACACACACACACACACACACACACACACGCATACACACATGCATACACACATCAACTACGGTGCTCTATTTTAACCAGCATAGAAATATATATTGTCTAATCCCTAGTTCTGATTAAGAACTCCCTAGTTCTGATTAAGAACTATATTCTTTCTGGAACTGATTTTGAAAATAATCTGCTACTGTTTTTTAAGAGTATCACACTGTTTTTGTTTGCTTTGTTTTAATTTGGGGTTGGGAAAAATTTCCAGAAATCTTCTATACATGTATAAACTTGGAGATGTTTACCTGGTTTATTTTGAAGATTTCCAAAGTGAAGAATGAAAAAAGAAATGAGGACAGACTATACAAGCCCAAATTAAGGAATGAGAAAATGGACCATTTTCTTGGGTTGACAACACTTTCTCTATTCAGGTTTACATAGGGTTTTTGCAGCAATTTTTTTTACATAGTTTTACTAGACTTTCAGTCTCAGTAATATCAGATAACGTCTCTAATTATATATGTGCGGTGTGTGTGTGTGTGTGTGTGTGTGGATTTTTTTTATTGTAGGTAACAGTGCTGTTTAAAATTTATATTGCTTAGTATTTGAGAAACTTTCAGGTGATATTAAGCTTTTAAATAGGTTAAGCTTTTAACTGAGTTAAATTGCTTTAGAACTTTAGAAACATTGTTTTAAAATATTATTTTGTTTGTCTAACATTTACAATAAAAGGAATTAACAGGAAACACAAAATAACACCATTCACCATTCACCACAGAGGGAATTCAATGTAAAGAAAGTCATCTTTGGATCCTTTCCAGTGTGGCTTAATTGTGGCACCACAATAAGGGCATTGTTATGCCAGGTCTTACCTACTTCATTACTTTATACATAAACTCAGAGAACTGAAATATAGAAAAGCTGCGATGACTATAATCTTCTAGGTATAAATGTAGCAAAAGCTAGAAGATACTGAAGAGTAAAGGAGTTAAAATGAACATTAAGATGTAAGCAGTAAATTGATTAGTACATTGCATACACAAATTCTCCTTCAGGTTTCAGGTTTGATTTGGGAAGTGATTCTATTTACAGAATATATATATATTCTATATATATAATATATATATCCCTGTAAATATATGTGTGTGTGTGTGTGTATATATATATATCCCTGTAAATATATGTGTGTGTGTATATATATATCCCTGTAAATATATGTGTGTGTGTGTATATATATATATCCCTGTAAATATATGTGTGTGTGTATATATATATAATATATATATATATATATATATTTCTAGAAAAGTATTTAGAACAGAAATATCTTTCCAAGATTTTCAGTTCTTAGTACCGTAACAGCTCAAAATTTTTTTCATCACACCTCTAGGCCAACAAACAAATACCAAGAATTCTGACTATTACAGTTAAGGCCAAACAACTAAATAAGTATTTATGTCCTGACAACATAAATTAAAACAAAAAAAAGTTTTACATGTTTTAAATTTAAATATTCTTAAATTACATATGAATTACTTACTAATGGTGAGTGCGTATGTGTTGGGCACCGTACAACTTCTCAAACCTTGGAATCAGATTGAACACTGAGATCCTTAGTACCTGTTCCATGAGGACTTTTGGGGATACTTGCTTTACTAAGAACCCAACTTCACATGGCTATGACCCCTTGAATGTAACCCCCTTGAATGTTAAAATTAAGAAATAGCTTGACTAGTGGTTAATACAGTGTCTGATAAATAGTGAGTATTGTTGTGTTTATCTTGAAATTTTAAAATATCTTACAGCATTCCTGATGAGTTCACTGTATTACTCCAGAGTGTCTTGCACATAGTTTTGGAATCACAGTGTTAGACTATTAGATGCTAATGTTAATCGTAGCCCCTGAATCTTAATTGAGAAGTCCAATAGCCTCTGACATGGTGGAAGTGAATGGAAGCACTGTAAGTCTACTATAAAAGCTCAGTATCTTCTTTAATGTCATTGTTTTCTGATTTTTCTCAGTCCATTATGGCAAATATTCCCTACGATTTATAATATCACAAAGTCTGTGACTGAAAATTTGATGTTAGCACTTACAGTGATGATAAATGAGACCATCATCATTGTTTGAGGCAAGTGTTACTTTTGGTTTTTGTTTGTTTGTTTGTTTTCATTTTTTGCTGTTTATTTATTTTTTGAGACAGAGTCTTGCTCTGTCATCCAGGCTGGAACGCAGTGACACGATCTTGGCTCACTGCAACCTCCTGGGTTCAAGCAATCCTGTCTCAGCCTCCCAAGTAGCTGAGATTACAGGCACGTGCCACCATGCCTGGCTAACTTTTTGTATTTTTACTTATTTATTTGGGGAGGCAGGGTTTCGCCATGTTGTCCAGGCTGGTCTTGAACTCCTGACATCAGGTGATCCACCTGCCTTGGCCTCCCAAAGTGCTGAGATTACAGGCATGAGCCACCACGCCTGGCCAAGTGTTACTTTTGTATTTTTAAGAAAATAATATTATCACTGTTTATTAAGACATTTTAAATTTTGACATAACATTTTAAGATTTGGTGTTATTTTGTGTTTCCTGTTAATACCTTTTATTGTGCAAATGGTTTCATTTTGTGTTTCCTGTTCATTTATTTTATTGTAAATGTTAGAAAAATAAAATATTATTTTAAAAAGTTTCTAAAGTTCTAAAAAAATTTAACTAAGTTAAAAGCTTAACCTGTTTAAAAGCTTAAAATCACCTGAAAGTTTCTCAAATACTAAGCAATATAAATGTTTATATAGCACTGTTACCCACAACAAAAAAAATCTACACACACACACATACATGCACACACACATGTACACACCGCACATATATAATTAGAGACATTATCTGATGTTACCGCGACTGATTTAACTAATTTTTTTCAAAGTTTCTAACTATATTCAGAAGAGCTACTTGTTTTAACAGTTCCTGTGAGATGTATTGTACTGAGAAGATAACTATATCTTCTCATGAGTCTACCCTAACTGCAAAGAAACCTGGGGGTGCTCCAAGGAAGGAGGTTTGAACTAATTTTTCGTTTTATCTCATTTTTGTGTTTCAGTAACCCAGTTAACTATATAAACATTGTTTCCTTTTAAAAACAAGTATCTTATAGAAATGTGTATTTACTCTCAGCTAAGGACGTTAGTAGAAATCTTATCTGGATTATTAGAAGAACTCAAATATGAGAGTCCTTGAACTAGATGATGTTAACCATTTCCTGCTTAGTAAACTGTGAGTGCCATCAGTGTCCACACTGAAAGCTCAAAACAGAACACTAAAACAAGTCATATTAAGATGAATAGTAAAAAATATAAGTTGTTTTGTAAGTGAAAAGGAAAACAAGATATGATGACAGAGAATTCTCACAGATCTCAGGGAGGGTTAATTAATGATCATCATTAATAGTGATACTTAGTAGCTGTTTCTGACACTTGTGATTTTAAATTCAAATTTTTACTTATTCATTTTTTCCATGTTTATTTTTAATCTTCATTTCCTAGAACCTACTTTGCTGATCAAGTTTCCATACCTTTAAATAGATTGTCATTGTGATCTCTGACCATAGAAGAGATAATTTGATTAACTTTTGTTCATTGGTTGAAATTGTTTACACCTACTAGGCAGTGGGTGTTTGAGAGAATAAAACCCAAAGCTAGTGTGGAGTGGGCTGGCATGTTAGGGACAGGGTGCACTCCCAGTTGAAAGACTGCTGAAAATTGATAGGGAGATGAGGCAGGGAGTTGGTCAAATGAATTAGGCTGTTAGGAAATAATAGGAAGGGTACTTCTCCTATGTTGTATATCCAGGACTGAGCCTGGTTATTTCATATATAACTACAAGATCAGAAAACAATAAATTAGCAGATATATAGGTAAGTGAAACAATATCAATGACACTAAAGCATTAGGATAAATAAATAATATTTAAATAATAAGGTACTTGAAAAAATTGATTCTTAAGATTTTCATGAAATTCTGTTATCTAAATATCAGAAAAATATATTTATAGATACAAGATTTTGCTTCTAAATTGATCAAGGCATTGTATTTTGCATTACTGGTATTAAATTGCTTTTTAACCAGGTTGCTAACAGCACATCTACAGATAGATATATTTACAGATAGTTAGAAACAGGGATTATTAGAAAGACTGACAGAGGCCAGGCATGGTGGCTCAAGCCTGTAATCCCAGCACTTTGGGAGGCTGAGGTGGGTGAATCACCTGAGGTTGGTTTTTGAGACCAGCCTGACCAACAGGTGGGCAGATCACTTGAGGTCAGGCATTTGAGACCTGCCTGGCCCACATGGCGAAAACCTGTCTCTACTAAAAATACAAAATTAGCCGGGCATGGTGGTGCATGCTTGTAATGCCAGCTACTCAGGAGGCTGAGACAAGAGCAACACTTGAACCCGGGAGGCAGAGGTTGCGGTGAGCCAAGATTGTGCCATTGCACTCCAGCCTGGGCAACAAGAGGAAAACTCCGTCTCAAAAAAAAAAAAAAAAAAAAAAAAAAAGAAAAGAAAAAGAAAAGAAAGAAAGATGGACAGAAAATTCCACTTCTGTGACTAGAACTGTGACCATCTCATGTTGATACTGTGGTATACGGAAAGATGAGCCCATTCTCTGGAGGAATGAACTATGTTTTTCCGGTTCACTTACTTCCTCCTAATTGCTGTACCAACATTCTTTCTTTTAGACTTTCTATTCCTGAAGCTACTCCCTTGAATTGTTCATATTAAATTTGCTACTCCTTTGAGTATCCCCACAAATCTGCAGCATCCTTTTGTAGCCTGCATCCATTCACTGGAGTCTTCTGCTTTGTCATCATCAAAACATATCTGGAGATTTTATTGTACATTTTTCCTGAAAGATATATTTGTAAACGGAAGACTGGTGCTTGTGTCTTATTTCTCCATTTCTTTTATCTGTGATACCTGCTATTAGGCTAGTTTTTATTTTCTTTCGAAAATATGACTTATTTCTTTTTACCAATACAATTGCATATCTTAAATGCAGAATTGTTAAGTAAAAAATATATATATATATTTTTTTTTAGATGGAGTCTCACTCTGTCACCCAGGCTGGAGTGCAGTGGCCCAATCTTGGCTCAATGCAACCTCCGCCTCCCAGGTTCAAGGGATTCCCCTTCCTCAGCCTCCCGAGTAGCTGGGGTTACAGGTCCTGCCACCACACCCAGCTAATTTTTGTATTTTTAGTAGAGATGGGGTTTCACCATGTTGGCCAGGCTGCTCTGGAACTCCTGACTTCAAGTAATCTACCCGCCTCAGCCTCCCAAAGTGCTGAGATTACACATGTGAGACGCCACTCCTGGCTAAGGATTTTTACTAGTAAAAGTGAAATGTGATTGTATGTATGTGTAAAAATACATATATGTATACATATGTGTATATATCTCATTAAAGAACTGTAAGATGTCATACAAATATAAAGTCGATTGGATAAGAAAGATTGAATTATCTATTTATACCAATTGGTTTTTCTTTGTATGTACAATTAGCCCTCTGTATCCGTGAGCTCCACACCTGTGGACTCAACCAACTATAGATCAAAAATATCTGGGAAAAAAAATATCTGAAGTTTCACAAAGCAAAACTTAAATTTGCTGCCCACTAATTTGTATGCTGAATCCAAGGGAATGAAATTATGTGTAGGCATTGTGTTAGGTTTTATAAGTAATCTGGATATGATTTAAAGTTTATAGAAGAAAAAAATGTATAGGGGAAGAGGTGAGTAGGTTATATGCAAATACAACATCACATTATATAGGAGACTTGAGTATCAGCAGATTTTGGTATCCAAGAAGGATCTTGGAATCAATATCCCACGAATCTTGAGGGATGACAGTGTGTTTTTAATCTCAAACTTTTGTATTTGAGAATAAGAAATCACTTCTCTTTGCAAATGCCTTATAATTTCTCTGCAATAAAGATCCTTCTTTCCACCAGATTTTTTTTTGGCTTTTTGTATTATTAAACATACTCTATCATCTTGCTTGGTGACAAGATGTGATTCCTGATAATTTCCTGTTCCTTTAATGGGAGTTCTTATCTATGAGTTGTAGATTTAGTCTTCCAAGATTCCAGCAACATAGCTTTTAGAATGGCATTTCCCCATTTATTATATAGTACTTAAATACCAAATAACTAAAAATAACTAACAATGATAGCATAAAAATATGCCAGCTTCTGCTTCTTATATAATTATTTGATTTAAATATTGTACTTTTATCTATCCCCCCCAAACCAATAAAACATTAAAGGCTTTTTGATATATTGTTCAGACCATCATATGTATGTCACCTTACACTTTATATTTGACTTCACTTTTTCATTCACGCATTTTTTTTTTGGTTTTACATAATAAATTTAACACATCTTTTGTGACATGTATTATGCCAGACTGGCATAAAATAAGGGTTAAAAAAACACTGTCAACATGATTCCCATACTTGAATGGCATCATTCCAGAAAGAGTTTAAAAATTTGGAATTAGATTTTTGTGATGCTCTCATTTCTATTCATAATTCAGAGCCCTTGAAACATTCCTAATGAGGTTTCAAGTATTTTATTTTTCCTCCGTGCTTTATAAACAAATAAAATTAAACCAAACCAAACACAAATAAAGCCAAGCTAGAATTGTGTATATCATCCAGCTGCTCCAGGATTTCTCTCTGAAACTTATCTGTTCTCCTTAGATAAATACAGTGGACACCAAAGCCAGATTAATTTATGATGACAATTTCTCTATCTTTGAAATGTTAATCATTGGGCTGGGATTAAAGTAGGAATATATAATAAATCCTAATCAAATTCTATGAAATATTATTATTTGCTTTACACCATTCAGACATATCATACTAGAGGCAAGGGGAAGAGAACAAATAAGAACAAACACAGCTTTAATTTTGGGCTCCAGGCTGACTTAAATGTTGGATATTGCAGGCCAGTTCCCAAAGGAAAAAATGTATATATGTGTATAAATTCTTAGAAACCCTGATAAAGATCCTCACGGAAATCCTGATGGTTGTGAGAATTGTGTTCATTTTTCTATTACATGAAGCATAAGGCAAAAAATATATCTCTATTCTGAGAATCTTTCCCCTCTATCTCACATAAAATATATTTTCTACCTCTGGGGAAGAGGATGAAGTGTGTGGGTATTTACATCTTGCTTTAGTTTCAAAGCTAGCTTTAAATTCAACTTTTATGTTATTTAATTTAATTAATTTAAATTTAATAAATGATACTCGATTCAGTTATCAGAAAACTTTTACATTTGTTTGAAACAACTTGAGTAAATTCAATCTCCTCTTTTAGTTGTAAATTTTATGAAATCAGAATACAAACCAATTTTTATTGCTAATAAAATTCAGCATCCACATAGAGAAAAACTGAAAATGTAAAATGCACACCTGAATCTGAAGACTTAGCATGAAAATGGTTTTTTGATTAATAATTTTATATTGTATACATGTTAAAATGATTATATATTGGATTAAATATATAAGAATTGGTTTTATCTGTTACTTTTTACTTTCATATATAACTGTAAGAAAATTTAAAATTACAAGTCTCGGGCCAGGCTCGGTGCCTCATGCCTGTAATCCCAGTACTTTGGGAGGCAGAGGTGAGCGGATCACTTGAGGTCAGGCATTTGAGACCAGCCTGGCCAACATGGTGAAACCCCGTCTCTACTAAAAATACAAAAATTCGCCAGGTGTGGTGGCGCATGCCTGTGGTCCCAGCTACTCGGGAGGCTGAAGCTTGAACCCAGGAGGCAGAGATTGCAGTGAGCCAAGACCATGCTACTGCACTACAGCCTGGGTGATAGAGCAAGACTCCATCTCAAAAAAAAAAAAATTACATGTCTCATATTATATTTTTACTAGAGAGCACTAGACGATATTATACAACTGGATTATATTACTATATATTACAGTCATGTGCTGCATAACAACTTTTCCATCAACTCACAGACTACACATAGGATGGTGTTCCCCTAAGATTATAATATTTTATTTTTGTTGTATCTCTTCTATGTTTAGATAAGTTTAAATACATAAATACTTCCCATTGTGTAACAATTGGTTATAGTGTTCAGTACAGTAACATGCTGTACAGATTTGTTGCCTGGGAGCAATGGGCTATACCCTATAGTCTAGATGTGTAGTAGGCTGTACCATCTAGGTTTGTTTAAGTTCCCTCTATGATGTTCGAACAATGATGAAATCACCTAATGACAAATTTATCAGAACATATTCTCATTGTTAAAGCATGACTGTATATTTTTATGCTATTCTTATTTTTAATCACTTTGAAATCACTGGAATTATAATAAAAGTATTAACATTTACTTTAGTGCATATATGTTAGACATTCTGCTAATCACTTTTCTCATATGACCTGATTTTATATGCAGGTACCATGTCATATCAGTTTCATACCTAATTGTGTGTTGTACCATGATAGCTATGTGATAGGTACTCATTGTCATTATTGTGAATAACTAATTGTAAGTTTGTCTTATTAGAAATAATTATTGCATTATGAGTAAACATATGAAAGCCATATTTATTGAAAAGATAAAAAAGTTTAGTAAGTTGTCTAAGGTAGAATTGCTCTTGGCATTACTTTTCCTAACTAAGATGGCATTGTCTCAGCATTTGGGATTCCCAGAGAAAGTCTTTTCAACTCATGGATATGGCTCAAGAAAGACATATTCAGAAAAGAAAAAGTATAAGATGGGTTGTATTTATTTTGAGAAACCATCACCCAGCCGAAGAGAGAAAAGGTTATTCCATTCACATCATGTGGTTAGTCTGGGAATCTTTCTAGTGTAAAAGCAAGAGGAGCCATAAAATTAAAGAAAACATTGATGGGGTTTTTAGACACTAAAAAAAAAAAAAAAAAAATGCCATCCTTCTTTGCTTTCTTCTAAAGAATCTCTTTCTGGACTCTCTGAAATAAAACAAATATCCAAAGCCTTTATTCTTCTTCCTAAAACTTGTCTACGTTCTGCTCTTGAGATCCATATCCAATGCAAATTGGGGAAAATACCATATTACCATGGAGAATGATTAAATAAAAATAGGACAACCGTGAGCTAGATGCCTTATTTCCCTGATGTAATCTGTGTCTTTTATAAATAAATTATGACATCTTTAGAAAGATTTTATTATTGAGTTTTAAATAAGGTTATAATTTCATGTCTAGAGAAATAAATTTTGATTTTAAAGCAATAAAATTCATATGGAATTAACTTTGGCTGACACTGAGGGTGTAGATAAAACTAAGTACTTTCTCAGTGTTTTACTAGATATTGTTGGTTCAAAAATTTATTATATTGGTAGAGAGATGATATCTCAAACCTTGATTAAATAAGCAATTGAGTAATTTAGAAATTGGTAAGAGACACTGAGCGAATTGTCCTTTTCAGCAATGTTGATATATGTCAATAATTGCTTAGAAATTTTAATACATCAAAACTAAAATGCATTGCCAACTTCTGTATAGTTCACAGAAACTTGGTTTTTTTTTTTCTCTTACCTTCTATTTTGCTGGCTATTAAATTTAAATAGTACCTTGATGCATTAAAGATTTGGTTAATGCATTTTTTAACTCTTTTTCCTATTCTCTTTTTTTGAGTGCAAAGTGCATTGCACACATCATAAATTAATACTGAGAAATCTAAATTTACTCCAAGAAGGTCTTTCAGTGAAGGCTTTATAAACTGGGCCCTTGTTTATTCTGTGTGTGGCCACTTTGGTTATTAGTAGGGGTTACACTGACCGCCTTTTCCCAGATTTATGAGACTTGGCAAAAACCTTGAGAAAACAGAGCCCAGTTTCTCTCAATAGAAAACATTATTAGATACTAAATAAACATTAATTTAGGTAAACTGGTACTATTCAGCCCAAAAGGAACATGTTCTTATTTAGATTTGCTCTGATGGGTGAAAGAATATGTGCCAGAAATGATTTATAGAGATCACAAAGAAGGGAACTTAAGTAATTTAAATTTCAGTAATAGTTAAGACTATCCTTAGAAAGACTTTGTGGTCATTCATGTAGGGCAGTGATCCTGTGCTAGGGAGGACATGCATCATGTCCTTCTTCCAGTGGAGAAAGATCAAGACACCAATCTTTTTTTTAAATATTAGCACAGAATCCCCAATAGTACAATGATTAATTTTCTCTGGATTCCAATAAAAACTGAGAAATAGGGCATACTGTGCAGTTAGTTGACATATGGTTTTGAAATAAATTATTAAGTTTTTGACAATGTTAAAATTCCTGAAGAGGTTAAAGCATTTTAAAAGGAATAACTTGAACTTGTCCCTCTTCAACAAGTTAATGTCATGAAAAATAAGAGAGGGGGTTAATATGTGTGCTATATTAAAAATGATAGTGCTGCAACTAGTTATAATGTGCTTAGAATTAGACGTCAAATTGGACAAATCACCTATAAAAACAGTTTTGAAACATCTCTGAAATTTTTAATGTGAACTGAATATTAAATAAAATGAAAACATAGTGATGAGTAAAGTGGAAACAATTAACTCATTAGTAGTTTATAAACTAGATTATTGATATAATCTCATTGTTGTAAAATACATTTATGTATATGCATAGAAAATAGGGAAAAATAAAGAAGATTTTAACAGTGATCATCTCTAACTGAGGTGTTGATAGGAAGATGGTGTTTTGATTTTCTTTTTGTATACCTACCATTTTTTTAATGGTAGAATGTGAAAAACTACTTTTATAATAATCACAGTCTATTATTAATGGAATAATTAAGCAGCAGCAAAATATACATTAATTCATTCATTATTAGGCCAATCCCCAGGGAAACCAGAAGAAACTTGTATTAAATAGATTTATCTCTTAATAATGACTCCTTAACAGAAGCACTTAATAATGTGTTCGTGTCTTGCAGGTTGTAGGCTATAGATTATAGGGAGTAAATAATATGATTATTATATATAGAGATATATAGATATAGATATAGATAAAACTCTGCTATAAAATGTTGGACAGAAATTTGTGCTGATGTTTGAAGTGACTATGATCAACAGTGTCTCAATTTTTCTTTTTAATGTAAGTGATCCTGTACATATCAGAACAGTAAGTCACCTTAAATCCCATCATCACTAGTCCCTTCATTTAAAGATGAGAAAACTGTAATTCACAAAAATAGAATAATTTACCAACATCTACTGGCTGGATGTAAACCAGACCTTAACTTATATGATTTCTAATGCCGTGCATTTTCACTCTGTCACAATCAAAGTTTTGCATATTTGAGGAAAAGAGAAAATGCAGAAGTCTTATTTAATAAATGAATTATTATTTTATATTGAGTAAAATAAAACATTTTTATTGATGTTAAAAAACATTAAATAAATGCTCTTATAAACTTAATTTTTTAATATTAGTAAATATGCTAATATATAAACATTTTGAAAATTATATGATAATAGTAGTCTGCAGTAATATATTGTTAATATATTAATGTAATTAATAGTAGCATGTGTAATAATTAATGACAGCATGCAACAAGTTTATCTAATTTAACTTGTTTTGATCACTTTTTCTGTGGTTATAATAGTTTACAATGTTGCCCTCTACTCAGGGAGGTAAAAGGTGTTTATTAGGTGTGTTTGTTGTGTGCTGAGAATAGTTGTTTATTCTGCAACAGCACTGTAAATAACAGTATTTATCATTTGTCTAATTCTTTGATAGAGAAATAGAATGTACATCTTAATATAGTCACAAAAAGAAGAAAATACAATAGTATTTCATAAGTTTTAAAATGGTTATTTTTTCTCACTTCAATATCTCTGAAATCAATGGCATCCTACAACCAATGCCATGTCATAGTTAAAATTGACAAGATTGTTTTCTTAGTGAGACATAAAATAATGAAGTATATTAAAATGACATCTTAGGTTAGATTAAATGTTATAATAAATAATATTTATTCACTTCTTTAGAAACATTTTCATTATAAGTTCAAAAGCATTGTTCTTAAAGAATAGCATTCATCTGTAGTCCCTTTGTGAAAAAGACAGAAATATTATTACATGGATTTCAGGATGCTATAAATCTTAACTTAAAAGCATTTGCTGATATAAAATGATGTTTTCATTGTGAAGATAAAATAGTATATATAAATGTATATATCTATTTGAATAACGATATTTTTGCTACATTGCATAACTCTTTAGTACTGTTTAAATCTAATAATCAGTGCTCAGATCTTACTTTATTGACATATTAGTAACATTTAACCCAGTGGCTCTGCTGATCACTTTATCTTCCTCTGATTTCTGATTCCTGTGAAGATTTCACAGGAATCCAGAGTCTTACATATTTCTCATTGTCCTTCTCCACAAGTAGATTTTACCAGTCTCAGTTGCTGGTTCAGCCTCATCTCTCTGACCTTTGAATAATGGAGTGTGCCAGGGATCAGTCCTTGCACCTATTTTTTCCTCTATCTGAATTTCTTCCCTTGGCAATCTCACCTCTCATAAATGCCACCCTTATACTTATGACTGCCAAAATTATACATTTATCTTTGACTACTGCCTTCACCTTTTGACTTTAATTCAGCTGCCTTCTCAATGTTGCCAGGTGAACGTCCAATAGAAAGCCAGAGCATATCCAAAACCAAATCTTGATCTTCCAGCAACCTCCAAAATGGGAGTTGAACAATGAGAACATATGGACAGGGGGGAATATCACACATCGGGGCCTGTCAGCAGGTAGGGGGCAGGGGAGGGATAGCATTAGGAGAAATACCTAATGTAGATGACGGGTTGATGGTACAGCAAACCACCATGGCACGTGTATACCTATGTAACCCACCTGCACATTCTGCACAAGTATCCTAGAACTTAAATTATATATATTTAATTTAATATATATATTAAATTAAATATATATAATTTAATTTATATATTATAAATTATATATTATAAAAGGGAGGCACAAAATGGAAAGAAAGGGGTGAAAGGTATTCATGTTAATACACATGTAATATAATTATGATATTTGAGTTATGTAAATGTTTTATATAATCAAAAAGCAAAACAAAAAAATAAGAAAAAAAGCTTAAAGTACACAAAAATTAGCCAGGCATGGTGGTGCACACCTGTAATCCCAGCTGCTCTAGAGGCTGAGACGTGAGAATCCCTTGAACCGGGGAGGCAGAGGTTGCAGTGAGCAGAGATCGTGCCACTGTACTCCAGCCAGGGTGATAGAGTGAGACTGTCTCAAAAAATAACAATAAAATTATGAATTAAAAAAGAATATCAGTTATTGCTCTTATAAAATTTACAGAACATTTTATTCCTAAAATTAATTAATTGTTTAATGAGTCAGAACAGCAGATAACTATTATGTTTCCTCTGTATAATTGTTTGACTTCTTATCTGTCTACTAAACATTTATTATGCTTTTACTTTGAGCCCATTCAGCTTCTATGGGCTATCTGAAGTAGATTTAAGAGAGTATACATTTTCTGTGCCTAAGCATCTTTCCAAATTTTTTGGAGAGGTAAGAGGCATGTAAAATTCAGGCCATATGCAAGAAAATTTGACTGTAAGTCGATGTAGTTGAGAAAAATCTGCTGTAGTTACCCTGGTAGAAAGTGTGTGAGTGTGTTGACCTCGAACTTACCCAGAAATGTTTTTTGGATAAGGTTGGATCAGGACAGCAGAACATCACACAGAGGAAGAAGGAAATGAATATAATTTAGATGGGATGTGTTCATTGACTATTTTGCCTGGAACAGGGAGTGCACATTGAGGAATAAGGAAAGTAATTTGTGTAGTTAAAGAAGGGATTTGGATACCAACCTAGGGAGTTTATATTTCAAATTAGAGATGGCATTATGAAAGCAAACATTTGAAGAAAACAAGCACAGAAAACAAATTATCCATTTCCAGGATTGAAGTCTATGGGTCAAGTCCAGAATACCAATTGTAGCAACCCAGGCATTCAATCAGAGGAACTCGGTGCTACATTAGTGGCATGAAAATGGAGTAGAAAAATTAATCGTAGGTAAAAAATAGCGTGTACATTATTAAAGGTATCATTAATACTGATGACAACTTTGATAAAGAGCAGATATTCCCTTGCCATATCCCTGTAGTGTCTGTGTTATGTGTGTGAGTATATATGAGATTTATATATATACACACACACACCCCTATGTATGTACCATATATATGTCTTATATATCATATCCTGTATATACCCTATGTATATACTATATATGTCATATCTATGTCATATATATACATCACATATATACACATCATATATGCCTTTTATGTATATCATATATACCATATGTAATACATGTTACTTCTCTATTTGATAAAAATAAATTATAATATCTGAAATCAGAGTTTCTCATATCTGACTCTGCTGTAAATAAGATTTAATAACATTGATCCCTGAAAAAGTAAAACTGAATTAAGTCAAAAAGGTTAATCTCTTTTTAAAGAAAAAAGTCTATGTATGTTGTTAATCATTTAAAAAATATTCATAGACACTTTGCTTGGCTAAAACTACATAAGTCACATTCCTGTTATATTGATGACATATCAACATACTAAATTTACATTAAAAAACCCTGACCCTGAGTGGCTAATTGAATTCCTGAAAATAAGATGTCCAGGACTACAGTCATGTCTTTAGACCCTTAACTCAGAGCACTTTCCGCTAAAGCATGGTGGATCCCTGTTCATGTTCCCTTTGCATTCTTTATCAAAGAGTAACTGGAAAATCTGACACTTATATAAAACATCAGAATTGAATTGTTCAAGTTAAATGATAATAAAAATCTGTAAATAGTAAAAAATAAAAATGTATTTTCCCAGTTGATACACATTATATTTTTTAGCAAGAGAAAGCATAATATGCCTTTCAATGCATAATGATTTTACTTTCCTTTAATATTTTAAATAAAAACATATTGTAGACAATTGTATAATTCAATTGTTTTAAACTAAAATAATCTTGAAATACCATTTACAGATTATAAAAATGTTTTTTAATATGTTACTTTACCATATTGCGCTACATTGATTGATCAATAGATAGATGATATAAGCTTGCTTTAAATAAATCAAATGCAATATTTGGAAAATCAAAGTTCTGTGTATACTTAATGCTGATGCTTATGATAATCCCTGGAAGTTGGCAGCCCTTGTTGAATGATTAAGTAAAATAGTACAGAAGTCAACTTTTTAAAGGAGAAATCTTGATTTTATGAGGATAATGCAGTACAAGAATTTTGCTGAAGCATTGTCTGAAAAACTGATTTATTGAAGTGCCAAGGATAGAAAGATATCTTTTTCTCATTGTTTTATAATCAAGAATTCGTTGCTCTTCATTGGCATTCCAAAGGACACACGCATGCACTATTACAATTGAACTCTACATTCTTTCTTACCCAAGATAGCAATAATCTCTACATCTCTACATTTTTCCTCTGAGTAGCTTGCATATTTTACCAATTAGACATTGCTCTCTCATCCTCTTTTTAATCTGGGTTTGCATTTATTTAGGAAAAGGTCTGTGCTGTGAATTTTCTATAAATGTGGGAATTGTATAGACAGGATAAATGCTTAATGGATAGTTCTCAAATATGTCTTTAAATTCTACTTAATTTTATGCTTTGTCTTCTGGATACAACTCAACAATTCACAGGAAGAGAGAAGGAGAAGTAGAAACGTGATAGTAAATAATCCCATTGAAATATCATTTTCTTATTATAATTTTTTTTTTTTTTTTACTGAGCCAACAGGGATAGGAAGAGGGAGAAACTTGACAAAACTTTGCAAATTGATTTTTTTCTAATTAATTTTTTCTAATTTTTTCTTTTTTAATGTTTATTTATTTATTTATTTATTTATTTTATTATACTTAAAGTTCTAGGGTACATGTGCACAATGTGCAGGTTTGTTACATATGTATACATGTGCCATGTTGGTGTGCTGCACCCATTAACTCATCATTTACATTAGCTATCTCCCCTAATGCTTTCCCTCCCCCTCTACCCCCACCTCACGACAGGCCCCGGTGTGTTATGTTCCCCTTCCTGTGTTCAAGTGTTCTCATTGTTCAGTTCCCACCTATGAGTGAGAACATGCCGTGTTTGGTTTTTTGTTCTTGCGACAGTTAAATGAGCATTTGCTCACTTCTGAATTATAACTACCAACATGATTCATGTGCAAACCATAACCAGTTGAGGGAAAGGAACTCTCCTAGTCTATAATAAGAAATAATTGTATCAAAAAGAAAGAAATAATTGTCATAATAGCCATTGTTTATTTTGCAAGTACTATGTAGATACAGATTTTAAAGTACATTAATTCAAATGCAAAAACATAGCAAAGTTGCCGTTACCTGCTAAATTTCAAAGAAAATCTTATCCTGGAAATGGTAAAACTGGAATTCATAATCAAGCCTGTCTGACTCCAAAGTTCAAATTCTCACCATTATCTCGTGGCCCTTCTCTACACACAGGGGTTTTCTAGGATATTCTCAAGTGATGTTAGAAAAAAAAAATGTGGTTCTAAAAACTTGCAAAAAGATACCCAGAATTACAAAGAATGTCCCTGAATCACTCAGTTATTCCTCCCGTTTTGGAGGGTATGAATCTTTATAACATCTATAGTTCTTTCTAGTTTAGTCCCCACATTCCCATATGTTCCTTGGACACTTGGGGAGACACAAAGTTTTTGAGTTTTTATGATATTATACACAATGATACTGTAAAGAGATTTGAAAAGCTTCTCCATCATATGTCAAAGAAGTGGGCTGGTGAAGCAAAGATGAGACTGAGTTCTTCTTTCATTTATTTAATAAATAAATACTCACATCTGACTCCATACCAGAGACTGTGTTAAGCTTTGGGGATACCGTGGTAAATGTAATAGATATCCCGAATTCATGTGGTTCAAAAGAAGTAAAAGTACATGTTTCGGTAGTTGGAGATTATGCTTGTTCTGGAAGGTACAAATGAAAATCTTGCAAGATTTAGGGAATGATCTACTTATCACTTGGAAATATATTTTAAACTGTTATTTTTATTATGCTATAACAACTCATGTTTTGAATACTCTAAAAAAGTACAGAAGTTGTAATTAAAACTAAATTTCTTGATATGCATAAACATTTTTGGTTATTACAATATCCAAATAAGCCTTCAAAAATAACTTTAGGTTGGCTTTCTGTCAAAACCATTTCTAAGCATTTATATCAGCTCCAAGACCTCCCTCATAGACTTTTCTTCAAACATATTTAGTAGTCTCTAGTTGAAAATTCTAAAAAAATATTTTTCATTCTGCCTTTTATTTTGTATAGTCTAACAATTTCCACATCCAATAAAGCAATTAAGTATGTTCTTTTTATTAGGATTTCAGTTTGGCAGTGCATAGAGGCTCAATGAATTAGAAGTTCGGAGGAAAATAATGTATTGTTAATACTGCAATAGGGACCTTATCTAATTGTGCATTGAAAAACATGTACACTGTGGAATGGGAGTTGAGAATTTTAATGCCAAATTATACAAACACATTTGTAAATATGATAGGAGAATATGGGAGTTTCCAGACTTCCTTTTAAGTTTCATATTTACTTACTATCTTTAGAAAATACTTGCTATCATAGTCCATGTAAAAATGGAAGACCATTAAGCTAACATTTGTTAGAGCTAGCTATGTGCCAGAGAAGATACTAAGTGCTTTCCATGCATTATTTCATTTTATTCTCACAACAATCATATTTGATAAGAACTGATAATCCTATTTCGTAGATGCAGAAACTGGACTTAAAGAAATTAAGTGAATTCTTTCAGAGGATAAAGTTGATAAGTAACAAAATAGAAATTACAACCAAACCATCTTATAGCCAGAGACTGAACTTTTAACCAGTAGGCTGAGCAATCCCTGGAAAATTCAAGAATTTTATCTCAGTTGCTATAACACATGGTAAAAACAAATAAGTTTAATTATTGAGGATTTTGAGAGACTATCTGAATTGAACTCTGTATTTAAAAATTCAGAACGTTGCGCTAGTTTTAGAACATCGTGCTAGCTTTCAAGTCAACTTCTGAGATCATGTAGTAAGAGGTATTATATTTTCTCCAAGAGGGAAAGATGTAAAAAATAAAAATGGAGAAATATCCATCGGCAGCTGTATGTATGCTCAACCCAGGAATCCCCTGCTTATCCTGACTGAGGCACTTTTTAATATTCATGTAAGTCCAGTTTTTAAGATGTAGCTGAGGATATAAGGATGAGACTAAACACAGCTCAGAAACTGATACTACTATGTTGATAGAGAACTAGATAAGGAGGGCGATAAGGGTGGAGGGGAAATTAGATAGCACAAATATTCAACACATGACTTCAACAGAACAGTCATGCAAAAAGAAGAAAGAAAGAAAACATATCTACATAGGAAGACCAGAGAGGTTTTTTTTATAAATATGTGGCTGCCTGATAAAGAAGCTGAAATTTCTGGCACTTTATTAGTCTCACTGTCACAAGACAATACCCCAACTCATTCTATACATATTGCGTATGCACTGGGGAACTGCAAGTTACTTTCTGAACACGAATATATTAGTCCAGGAACTACTCCCTTATACGTATTAAGAGAATGTAAAAGAGATGAATTCAGCATTAATGATAGAAGCTCTTTAATAAGATCCATATTATGCTTCTATATTGCATGTCCAGTACATCAAATAATGTTTCTAAAACAGTGTTATGAGGTCATACTTTAAAATATAATAAATTCATGTGAAGGCATATATAAAGATAGTATAAAACTTGTATTAATTATAAGATGATATTTCTACATTTTATTATGTTATTTGGAATTATATAATACATTGACATTAATTTTTAATTTTATTAATTTTGATTTGAGGACAGTAATGTTCATGCTAGAGAAACATTTCATCCTTATGCAAATATGTATTTTTTAATATGTTCTTTTAATAGTCCATGTTAGAACCACCAGAAATATTAAGATGTTCTAAGATACATACTAGCTCTTTGAATCTGTGGCAGAGACAACTTCAACTCTTGGTATGCTACAAATATAGTAATTTTGAAAACTGTTACAAATAATACTGGCATGTTCAAGATCTGAAATGGTTTAAAATGTTATTAAAAGTATTTTTTTATGTTTAACCTACCAAAACCTAATTCAATCTCAATATGATATCCAATTTTGCCATGTTTTAAGTTAGGAGACATTGCTTCACTGTTTTACGAGTTTCCATAGTCAATAAAATAATTTTTGTTTTCTTGCTATTTATGAAAGTTTTGCTATGTTTGATATATAATCACAGGGTATTATAAATGAAATTTGATCAAAACTATGTTTTATAAGCTGGTATGGATGTCTAAATATACTTGGTAAAAACATGACAATTTTAATGTAAGTAAAAATAGTTTCAAAAATTGATCATAAACAAATATAGCTGTTTTTAAACATGATTCTTTTTCATGTAAAAATTATTTTAATTAACTATCTAAAATAATTTCAGACATATGTTCAAAAATGGTCAGCAACTACTAAAATATAAATTATGTGAGGTTCCTAAGTGGCATCATATTTAGGAAGAATAAATTTTAAAGAAAGCTGAAAACAGAAAACATTAATAAAGAGTTTGTTAAAAAACTTTACACCTTTAAACCATACTATACTAGTTGTAAAACTAAATACTAGGTGTGGGAATGGAGACTAGAACACTGAATTAAGTCTCATAGATGCATAAATTTTTTTTAAATTACCACCTGTTAAGATTCAATACAAAGGATATATTGAATTGCAGACATACATTATTGTTATACTTTGAAAATACCATTGAATGTACTATATCTTCGTATTTCACAAGATCCACAAGATTTTTAAAATTTGTTTTCCCCTTTAGAAACTAGTATCCTTTCTGGAGAAGGCATTAAAGGAAGCACACTTCTTTGAATCTTTTTAATCCAAGTAAAAATCTTAAAAGTCAAGTACTACACATATTCACCAATGTTTATTCTACTTTGATTTTAAAGTTTTATATGAGGTTATTGTTGATCGGGTATTTAGTTATTTTCTCTTTCTTGATAAATTATGTGATTTAATTTAAATGAGTAGCATTAGAGGTGCTCCAAATACAATTATGTTATATCCTTCATAATCAGATTCAAACCATCACTTTCATTCTCCCCGTTTAAACTATACAAATGGAATTTATTTGCTTGCTTGTTTCTTTGTGTTTATGATCTCAAAGAATTAAAATTATTTTCTTCATTTGCTTTCATACTCTTGGATGTTATATAGTATTTTCCTGAAAACTCTGCTTTACAGGCCTTACAAACTGTACTTGTACTTTCAGATAATCATGAATTGTCTTTAAAACCATAATTTTCTCTTGTTCTTAAATCGAGTTTTAATAGAAAATTAAGACAAATTGAATATAATGATTTTTAAATGACTAACACTCATGGATCACTTACTGTGTACTGGGCAGGGTGCGGTGCTTTACATCATGGTTTCTTAGTCCTTACAACGAAGGAATCAGATACCCTTGTTATCCACAATTTCAGGTGAGAAACATGAGCCACAGTATGGTTAAGTAACTGGCCCATGGACAAACAGAAAGCAAGTGACAGACCTTGGCTTTTTGCCTGTGCGCTTAACCACTGTGCTAGTGTGTTTTGACATGTCCCAGAAGAGTTACGGAAGATATGACCTGGGATATGTGGAGGTGTAGCTAAAAGAAACTTCTTTTACCTTGTATGACAAGGCAGTCATATAAGGTACAAATAATGGAACTTATGATATCAATTTATTTATAAAACTTATATATTTGTTTTAAGCTATTTTTAACTTTCTCAATAGCAGAGTTAAACCGAACATAGGAATATTTACTGAGTCAGGGATTCGAGAACTTTTGAATTTCTGGTAGAAGCTGGTAAATTATTTATAGCAAAATTCAGATTTCTCCTAGGGATAACGATTTTCCAGACATCCAGCTCGTTTCTGGGCCAGAAGGCCCCAACAATGAGCATGTGCAAACTTATTCTATAATGTTTACCTTATAGTGACACAATTAGAAATACAAGTGGGTTGGAACAGTTGCATTTGAAGCATGTTAAAACAAGATGGAATGCATGAACATATGTCATTATCATTAGAAATATAAAAAATGTTCACTAAATAACTATTACTGCTAAGAGTGCTGGACAATTCTTTCATTTGTTGAAAGAAAAGCTGCCCTTTTTGATTGCATAAGTCATCATCAATTGTTGAATTTAAAATGTTAGTTATTGATAGTTGCTGAGTTTGGTCAAATACCATGAAATTCAAATCCGATATGAAGACTTGGTTCCTAAATTCCACATGTGATGCTAAGTTCCTTTCACATCTGCCTATTTGTGTTCCCAGATAGCGTTATGCTTATGAAAATTATTTAAATTTTTTATCCTATTTCCCTAGGGTGTTTACTTCCCTAAGGTGTTTCATTAAATAGTGAAGAAAGAAACAAATAGTGTTAATAAATTTAGCACATCTTTTTTAAAAAAATAAAATTAGGCTATATAGGATTCATTTAACTCATTATAAGTGTTTTGATCTTAACAGTACATGTGTTCCTGGAGAATTTATGTGAATATGAAACTCAAGGTCATAGTTTTCCTGCTACGTGCAGTTTTTTTAGATTAAATGTTTGCTGTTAAATATGGGCATTGATGGTAGATTTGATGGCATTTCTTTATCCGTTTATATAAAAGGTTAGGATTTTTATGAAGAATCCTTATATTGTCCTACAGCATACATCCAAAAACGTAATTTAATTATTTCATAATTATTTACTGCTTTCCAGTAGTTACAACCTTAAAATTCTAAACTAAGTAGGTATAACCCCATGTTATCATTTAGTCTTAGTGTAGGAATTTATTGAAATGCTATTTCCTATACATAAGTGGTTGTGTATAAGCAGGCTTACATATTTTTACATGTTGGCAACTATAACTTCTGTATGTTGTTTTGATGATAAGATGAAATCCTCATCTCACAGTCTGATAAGATATGTATTAAATAACAAAAAAATTTCAATTTTTCCTCCTTTGACATAACTAATTTTTTTCAGTAAATATTTTTAATTAGAAAATTAAAATATACATATGAAGATTGTGAAAAACATGACTACCACACATGTCAATAAATAAAAAGAAATTCTGTTTTACAAATTTATCTGTCGTTCCTATGTAGGTGTTGTGCTCTTCTCTTCATGCATCTTTGCATTGATCTTACCTTAGAATAAGTGCTGCTGAAAGAAACACCATGATAATATTTTAAAATATAATAAAGTAGGTGAGGCACAGTGGCTCACGCCTGTAATCCCAATACTTTGGGAGGTTGAAGCAGGATGATCACTTGAGGCCAGGAGTTCAAGAGCAGACCAGCCTGGTCAAAATAGTGAGACCCTATCTCTACAAAAAAAAATTAGCTGGGCAAGTGGCACATGCCTATAATCCCAGCTCCTCAGGAAGCCAAGGCAGGTGGATCACTTGAGCCCAGGAAGTCCAGGCTGCCATGAGCTGTGGTCATGCCACTGCACTCTAGCTTCAGTTACAGAGTGAGACCCTATCTATCTCTAAAAAAAAAAAAAAAAAAAAGGAAAAAAATATATATATATCATAAAAATATCTGTATTGCTTTGAAAAACAAGTTTCCAACTACCCAATTATTTATGCTGATACAGAGACCATGGAGCCACTAACTTGGTTATAAAATAGAATATTCTGTACATTTTATTATGAATAATCAATTTTTTACAATTCAAATCCATTTATTCACATAGGCAGAATATTTATAATATTAGATATAGATTATAAATTCTGGGGAAATATTAAATGGACATATAATTCAACAGCTGAATGAATAACTGAATGTGAATTTCAGAAAGGAATAAATTAAAATTTTTGGATATTTGCCAAAATATTGCTTAGTTTTGATAAAAATGACATTTCTAAAAAATAAAAGGGCTTGACTAAATTAGAAATAAGCATATCTCAATAATAAAAACATAGTTGGCCCAGTGCAGTGGCTGATGCCTGTAATCCCAACACTTTGGGAGCCTGAGGCAGGTGGATCACGAGGTCAGGAACTTGAGACCAGCCTGATCAACATGGTGAAACCCCATCTCTACTAAAAAATACAAAAAATTTAGCCAGGCATGGTGGCGTGCGCCTGTAATCCCAGCTACTCAGGAGGCTGAGGCAGGAGAATCACTTGAACCAGAGATGTGGAACTTGCAGTGAGCAGATATTGCTCCACTGCACTCCTGTCTGGTTGACAGAGTGAGACTCTGCCTCAAAAATAAAATAAAATAAAATAATAAAATAAAATAAAATAAATAAAAACATAGTTAATTCTTAGTTCATTATTCCAAGAAAATATAATAATTTTCCTTTCATATTTTCAATAATTCCTACTCTGCTTTATTCAAGTCTCTTCATAAAAAAAAAAGCAGATATACCTAAGAGGCACATATCAGAATATTTGAGGTTGATGCTTTTGAGTTTAAAAAACAACCGATTTATGTTTTGAGTGCAGACATTAAAAGTTGACAAAATGTTCTACAATTATCCAAAAGCATATTATAAGATTATCTGGGTCATGAAAAGTTGTATGAGTTAAAATGCTCCCGAGGGTATAAGAATTTGAAAAGGAAAATATTGAAACTTTGGGCTGTCGATTAATCTGATTTGAAGAAAGGTCAACTCTGATGATGTTAGTACTTTCTCTGACCCTTCAAATTGATAAGTATCAATTGCTGCTTTGAAGAGCAAATTGATTTGAGATTTAGGATGAGGAAAATGAATATCAATAAAGTCATTCACAGTAATATTTTATTAAATTTTTATAAATGTGTTAACTTCAACAGTTTAGACCTTGGAGGCACTTTGTTTCTTTGGGACCTCTTTACAATTTAAAAATTATTTTGTTGTTACTGTTATGGTCAGGAAAAAATGAAACCCACAAGGCTTAAACCTAAGAGATTACACACATATATTCTAAAATCTCACAATTGTATTATTTTCTGTTGAATTCATTAGAGGTAAGATCTTACAGAATTTTATTTGGCTCTTAGTACATGGCTATAAGGCATGCAAACCCAAGTAAAATGTTAACAGTGTTGCTTTGTTGAACAGGGATTATAAACTATATACTCTCAGTGTATTTTAGCAATGCAAACATAATGTTTAAACCGCTACAAAATAAAAATGTAGGTACTGTAATTTATATTTACTGACAAATAGCTTAGCTCAGCTCTACAACTAATTTCTGATGATAATCGTA
Organism: Homo sapiens; assembly: GCF_000001405.40. NCBI lineage: Eukaryota > Metazoa > Chordata > Mammalia > Primates > Hominidae > Homo > Homo sapiens. Next base: position 85,127,197 of record NC_000007.14, on the reverse strand, counting down.
ATTTGTTTGGTGTGTGGAGAAATATCATTGGCCATCATAAAGAGGTTTGGAAGTAGATTAGCATTTAATCAAATATAAGACTCTTCATGATCTCTGAGGAGTCAGATGGCCTTCCAGACTCCTTTAGAATATATCATTTGATGGAGAATTCATGGCATCTGAAGACAATGGACAATTAGTCTTTCAACAAATACTTGCTATCTTACTAAAGTAGTAGGATATTTTATATGCCTATTAGAAAATACACAGAAGGAAACTTAGAAAGGATAGGATAAATTTATGTGAAAGTTCTAGCATTCCAAGCTCTTTTCCTGTGGACCTTTTCACATACCACTTGAATCCTACTTTGATATTATTGCACTTGATCAATGGAATAAATAATAGCCCCCTGTAACATAAAGCTTCTCTGTGTTTGCCTATGTTACCCCTTTGGCTTTCGAGTTTTTTTCTATAATCCCTCTTTGTTGTGCTGTCCACAGCCATGCCAGGAAGTAATGTTACCAATAATTGATCAGTCATGTGCACCCTACAGGAAAACCATCTAATCAAACAATAGCTCAAAATAGGAGCAGCAATTTGGCAAAAGTGAGTTAATACAGATATTGCTTTTAATGCTGAGATAGGCATATTTCCTTGTGCTTTCTGAATTGGGTAAAAAACATTCTCAAGTGACCTTATATGTACCACTAAGGTATAAAGAACAAAGAGCTCTTTATAAAATTAAAAAATCAGGGGTTCTTTCCTTCCCTTCCCCAACCTACACACACACACACACACACACACACACACACACGACACACACACACACACACACACACACACGAGAAAGAATCCTAAATCTAAGTGTTCTAGATTTTCATGCAAGAAGACTTACATATTTTAATCATTGTTCCGTGCATAGAAGCTACTTTTTCACATTAATAGTACCTGATCCTGGCTTAATGACTTTTGGAACCAATGCATATGAATAAATAAAGCAAATCAATGAAGTTCACATGTAAAATTTCATATTTCTTGCTCCTCAAATAAATTTTACCATCCATCTAGTAAGTTCTGGACTCTTTGTGTTCCTTAGGGAAATGGCACAAGGCCTTCTTGAGGTTAGATTATGCATTTGGATCTCTGATTTAGTGGAACAGTGTGTAAAAGTCTCTCATAATCAGAAAACTCCCTATTGGCTCCACATCTGAAGATTCCCAAGAGTGCTGTTTCTATCAGGGAGCATCTGGAATAGATTATATGCAGTTAATTGGCTCCAGGTCAAGCTTGTTACAGACAGTAGCATGCAGTATAACCTATGCATTTCACTAAATCCACCCACTTTTGGTTAAATCACACCTACTTCTCTCCATAATTCATCCCAGATGCACAACACACACACATGTGCACACAACACACACACACACACACACACGAAGACAGCAAAATATCAATAGAGTAGGAAGGAGGTTGTTGGCAAGACGTTTAACCCATAAATTATCTCAATTAAAGGATTAACTATTGAATTTATAGGATTGTTGGGAAGAAAAACAAAGAATCAGGACCAGTAGATTGTAGGTCTTGACTGTTTTATAGTAGAAAAATATATAAAGGCTTTTAAGTTCCAGCAGTTTCACCATTTTTACTTTATTTTGTTCCTCCAAGTACAGGTTCAGCACACGTGGGCACTTCTCAGAATGTCTTAGTAGTAAGGAAAGCAGGGCTTTGATTTTTAACTTATTTAACAATATTAATGAGTTTGGTTACAAGGAACAGTGTTACTACTGTTCAGTGAAAACCAAAACATCAATCTTCTTAACTTACGATGTTAGAGGCACAGGGCATGTCTTAGCGATTAATGACCAGTTGGAGGAGTAGGTATCTCAATGCATAGCCAAGGGCCATTAACCCCAACTAGTCATTAATTCCCAGGAAATGTCCTGCACTGAGGTCATTATTGCTAATAAAATGCACATATGGAAAGTTCCCTCTTTTTTGCCTATGTATATAAACATACATTCACGTTACATGCATTGTTACATGTCATAAAAAGGTATTTCACATGTCCAGAAGCTCAAAAAAAAAGTGTAATGAGAAATTCAATATACTCAGTCTCTGCATTCATTTTACCTTTCACTTTTTTTAGAGGGTATGGGTAGGAGGGAGAATACATGTTTGTATGCCACAGCTGTGAGTCTGCTGCAATCAGATATCAGCGCTTTGCTAATAATGTGAATACAAGAAATAATGGAAGGAACAGGATAATGCGATTGGAGAAGCACTGATGAATGTGGGTGGAACAGCACACTTGATCAATACCAAAAGGCAGTACGAAGTGACCATATGCATTGTTTTGAGTCCTAATGTATTAGGTACCAGAATACGCAGAGCCAAATTTAAGAGTTAGCCCAAGATTCTCTTTGGTGTCCTTCTGTTCTATGCCACTGAATTATGCCACATTCTCTTCCCTCTCATAGCCATATAACCAAGTCTATCATGCAACCTGCCTTGCTGTTCAGGAGTCCTTAACAAGGTTTCACTGTTTTCTGGAACTGTCTCTGTTTGCTTTTCCAGTCTCTTTTCTCTGTCCTCCATGAAAGTATACTTGTCTTGTTTAAGCCTATATGATACTCCTTTGAGTTATCTTGCATAGCGTATCATAAATGTCTCCATTTTAAATTTATTTTATGGTACTTTATTGTGTATAATCAACCATTCCCTTCAGAAAAATAATCTTATTCATTTCCTCACCTTATAAATGGTCAGCGATTAGATATGATGCCAATGGCTGATAAGAATATATATAAGTGAATATATGTTAGATATATTCAAATACCATCACAAGTTATATAAATATATCTTTATTAACATATAAATATATACATATTTAAAACTTGTATTGGAATTTGTATAAAAGCAGCAAGTTTTTAAGGAGAATCTGTAAGTCAAAGAATACTGGTATTCTAACTAACAAGTTGAAACTAACTTTTAAAACTAACAAGTTGCAAGAATGCATTGAGATTGAATGATTCAAAACTCATATATTCAAATCTAATCTGATAAATTTTTTTCTGTAGATCAGTTAAAGTGACTGTTTTGTGGCAATGGCATTAATGTGTTCCTACTGGCAGTTAAATAATATAATTTTTAGGACTTTAGGTTATTTTTTAAAAAAGGCTTTATTAGTGTTATATATTAAAATTAGCATAATTGAAGTTTTTAAAACTAAAATTTTCATAAAGGGCTGCTGATGGTGTAGGTTTTGGTCAGAAAGACATTCCTGTTGTCTCTCAAATTTTATTTAATTTAGGTGAAACGTTCAGGAAATGTCAATTAAATGTAAATAAAATATGCAATATTTGTTATATTTAATACAACATGATTGAAAGAGAATCTAAACCAACTTATATGCATATGTAGTAACCTTCTAAAAGAAGAATTAAATGTTGACAGATTATATACAAAGAATAATTTAGTATTCCTTATAGGTATCTTTGAATGTAATGAAATGTAATGATTGATGAAACAACTTATTAAGCACTCATGTTTAACATTTCATGAAGAAATGCAGCATAAAATTTGAAGTCTATCCTTAAATGTTTATCATGTATAAACATAATACACATCAAAATTTGATTTTATTTTACTTCCCAAGACTTGACTTAACTACTGAGATTTAAGGTAACTGAAATCTTGATATTCAAAGTCTGGGAGACATTTTAATACACTGAAGAGCTGATCTCACTTAAGAAAAATTCAACCCTTATTAGGCCTTCTCTTAAAACTAAACAATATAGGCATAAAATATTTATTTTGAATGTTAACTAATTACAAAATTACTTAAAGTCTAATGCTTTTTTTATTATGATCAAAGCTATCACCAATAAATCTATCATCAAATAAATTATTGGTCCTGTGGCCTATTTCCTAGTAACAGCAGTAAGTTAATTAACATGGAAGAGAAGTTGAAGACTCTGGCAGGAGCTGAAGATCACTAGATTCTACCATAATGCAAAGCACTGGAAGACTTAGGTGTGAAGAAAGCAGACTCTAGCTAAAGTCCTGATGATGTGTTGATTTGATCCATCTCTTACTTGCCGTGTACCCCTGGAAGAACTATTTAACTCTGTACCTCAATTTTGTTTCATCGGTGAAGTGAGATAAATAATTACCCACCCTTAATGGCTGTTTTTAAATTAAATCATTTAATCTATGTAAAGCACTTTTAAAAAAGTATTGGGAACATATAAATGCTCGATAATATGATTTGTAATTTTTGTTACCAGGCTTAGTTTGGAATACGTGTTTTGATTGACTCTACATCTTACAGAAAACAACCAAGTTAGCCTATTTTATGGCAACCCAGTTAATTACCACCTCCTCCCTCTTATAAACCCTTATATTTTGGAATTTGTTTTTCTATTCATTACTTCCCTGTGTGGAATAATACAGGTTTCAGGTAACATTGCATTGTTCCAGGCCTAACACCTATACTGGGGCCCTGACCTAATTAAAGTTAGTTTCTCACATTTAAGTGTAATTTTTAGATGTCTCTAAACTCAGAAACAAGAGAACTTGTCTCAAAATGACAGCTTTTGTCTGTTTTAGTTGGTGGATCTTTTCATTTGGGGATGATATGGGGCACGTATAGGCTTCTACCAGTGAAAGTGGTCTCGTCTGATCAAATAATTCAAGTTTCGACAAAAGTTGGTTCTTCAGATATTTGCTTAAACAAAACACAAAAACAACTTTAGTCAAGGAAAAAATGTTAAATAACAAAATAGTTTAAATTCTTGTGGTGCATTTATTTCTACATCTGAGCAAAGCCAGTCCTTAATTTTATTCCCCAGTTCTGATTCATTTCTATAAGAGTAAAACAAGAGCGATGGGAAAATTATTTTTAAAAATCTATATACATTCAGAACATTATAATTTAGTAAGTTGAGGAAAGTCTACCAATTGTTATCTTAATAGTTTTTTTTTTTTGTACTTTAAGTTCTGGGATACATGTGCAAAACGTGCAGGTTTCTTACATAGGTGTACACGTGCCATGGTGGTTTGCTGCACCCATCAACCTGTCATCTACATTAGGTATTTCTCCTAATGCTCTCCCTCCCCCAGCCCCCAGCCCCCAACAGGCCCTGGTATGCTATGTTCCCCTCCCTGTGTCCATGTGTTCTCATTGTTCAACTCCCACTTAAGAGTGAGATGATATGGTATTTGGTTTTCTCTTCCTGTGTCAGTTTGCTGATACCTTAATAGTTTTTTTTTTTTTACTCTTTTTTAGATTAAATTAACACCATTTGAAAGAGAACATTGTTTTCATCATGAATGCTAATAAAGATGAAAGACTTAAAGCCAGAAGCCAAGATTTTCACCTTTTTCCTGCTTTGATGATGCTAAGCATGACCATGTTGTTTCTTCCAGTCACTGGCACTTTGAAGCAAAATATTCCAAGACTCAAGCTAACCTACAAAGGTAAATATATACATATTTTCTAAATTGTTTATTAAGATTTTGAAATGTCTTTTTTGATTGCTATATTTTTTCTTTTTAGAAAAGCATATTGACTTCTGTGAAATGTTTTGGCATCAGTTCATAAAAATAGAATTATAGAACACGAAGCCCAATTACTCATTTTTGTGAGGAAAAAGATGCTAAAGCTATTCAAGTACCCTTTTCAGCCCAGTATTTATAATATTCAATTTGATCTGCAAGTGGTAAACAGTTTGGTGTTAAAACAAATAAATTCCTAAAAATAGAAAAATGTTAACACATTTCATATAACTCTTACTAGTTTATTCCTAGTTAGAGGGGATTTTTTTTAAAACACAGTAAGGTATCTTCAAAAAGAATTTAAGACAGCAGGATAGCTTCAAGTTCTCAACTATATATGTACTTGGTAATAGAAAAAGACAATGTGAAAGGTTTAAATATAAAAAAGATGAAACAATTTTCTAAGAAATGAAATCTGCTAAGCTAGTTGTTTTTAAATGTTTGATATAAAAGCAAAGTTTATATGAATTATGGTTGGTCAACTTTGTGTGTGTCTGTGTCCAGTTTCACGCCCAAATAGTTTTTACTTTAGTTTTCCTTTTTGATGTACTCCGGGCTTCATTAATACCTCAAGAAATAAAAGGGATGTAGGGAGAATAAAACTTCTTTATTCTCAATGTGATAGGCAAAAATTATGCTGGCAATTTGAATATCCTCTGATATCTTTAAGATCACATTTTATAGACAAACGAAATACCAATAATAAAAGCAAATTGGATGTCAAATCTAAGAGTAAGTTGAATTAGCACATTATATCCATTATAAATTTTATATGTTGGTATTTGTACAGAATATATGTCATGTATTAAAGAGTTAAACAATAATTTATGTATTTTTGAGTTCTTATGTATTTATATGTATCAAACTCATTTAAATTGGAAGTATATTTTTTGGTAATCTAGGACGTTTTTATCTGGAAAAATTGATCACATTATGAAATATCATTTATTGATGTCTTATTTAATCAATAATTAAAACCTTTTTTTTTTTTTTTTTGAGATGAAGTCTCATTCTGTTGCCCAGGCTGGTGGGCAGGGCATGATCTCGGCTCACTGCAACCTCCGCCTCCTGGGTTCAAGCGACTCTCCCACCTCAGCCTCCTGAGTAGCTGGGATTACAGGTGCCCACCACCATGCTTGGTTAATTTTTGTATCTTTAGTAGAGATGGGGTTTCACCGTGTTGGCCAGGCTGGTCTCAAACCCCTGACCTCAAGTGATCTGCCCACCTCAGCCTCCCAAAGTGCTAGGATTATAGGAGTGAGCCAACTCGCCTGGCCACAATCGATAACTAAAACCTGTATTTGAATGTCTTCCATTTCTTAATCATAGATATATTCAATTTTCTGTCATTCCCCTAAAATTATCTTAGTTTCAAGTGAACATTAACAGTTTTGGTAAGGTTTAGGCTATAAATTAAAAACAAAGTCAAGGCTTTTAACCTTGCCAGTATAAATAGTATTGAATTATACCTTCTTCCATAAACAACTCTTCAACTAGATAAACTACATGAAGCAACTATTTTTAGATATTGAGCAATAGGCAGCAAAGATGAAAGAAATAAACCACCAGTTGTACATGCCTATAATCCCAGCTATTCAAGAGGCTGAAGCGAGAGGATTGCTTGAGCCCAGGAGTTTGACTGCAGTGAGCTAGGACTGCATCATTGTATGCAAGACCCTGTCTCTAAAAAAAAAAAAAAAAAATTCACTTAATGGTGCGACTCGGAAAGGGTTTGGGGCAAACGGGGAATTTGTGAGCTGAGCCAAGATATTGAGCTGAAATATTGGAGGTCAAGGAGTGCTGAATGATATAGCAGTTCTGCCCACCCAGAATTTTAAAAGTTTACCAAACCTGGGGCACTCAGGTGACATGCTGCAAGGGTAATTTTGTTTTTTAATTTTTATTTTAAGTTCAAGGGTGCATGCCCAGGTTTGTTACATAGGCAAGTTGTGTCGTGGAGGTTTGTTGTGCAGATTATTTCGTCAAACAGGTATCAAAACTTGTACCCATTAGTTATTTTTCCTGATCCTCTCCCTGCTCCCTACCTCCATGCTCTGATAGTCCCCAGGGTGTATTATTCCCCTCTAGGTGTCCACGTGTTGTCATTGGTTAGTTCCCACTTATAAGTGAGAGTATGCAGTATTTTTTCCCCTCCATTAGTAGGTTAAGGATAATGGCCTCCAGTTCTATCCATGTCCCTGCAAAGAACATGATCTCGTTCTTTTTTATGGCTGCATAGTATTCCAGGGTATGTATGTACCACATTTTCTTTATCCAGTCTATCATTGATGGGCATTTAGGTTGATTCCATGTCTTTGCTAATGTGAATAGTGCTGCAATGAACATACAAATGCATGTGTCTTTATAATAGAAAGATTTATATTTTGGGGGTATATACCCAGTAATGGGATTGCAGGTTCTAATGGTATTTCTGTCTTTAGATCTTTGAGAAATTGCCACACTGTCTTCCACAATGGTTAAACTAATTTACACTCCCACAAACAGTGTATAAGCATTCCGTTTTCTCCACAACCTTGCCAGCATCTGTTATTTTTGACTTTTTATATAATAGCCATTCTGACTGAATAGTGTGAGATGGTATCTTGTTGTGGTTTTGATTTGTATTTCTGTAATGATCAATGATGTTGAGTTTTTTTTTTCACATGATTGTTGCCCACATGTATGTGTTCTCTTGAAAAGTGTCTGTTCATGTCCTTTGCCCACCTTTTAGTGGTGTTGTTTATTTAAAACTATAAAAACCCTGAAAGACAACCTAAGCAATACCATTCAGCACATGGGCAAAGAGTTCATGAAGAAGTTGCCAAAAGCAATTGCAACAAAAGCAAAAATTGACAAATTGGATCTCATTAAACTAAGGAGCATCCGAACAGCAAAAGAAACTGTCAACAGTTGACAGTGAGTTAGCAGGCTTGAGTCAACAGACAACCTACAGAATCAGAGAAAATTGTTGCAAACTATGCACCTGACAAACATCTAATATAAAGCATCTATGAGGAACTTAAACAAATTTACAAGGGTCACATTATAAGAGCTCAGCTGTTCTATTCCTACTGTAAGGGATACTTTAGTCCTGCCTTAAAAAACATGAAACTAAGTCTCAAAAGGATTGAAATGATCTTCCAGTAAACTCAATATCTGCCAGAAAAAAATCTCAACAATTTTTAAAATAAGAAAACCCAAATCAACCATATTCTCAACAATTTAATATCCATAATGTCCAGATACAATAAAAACATACTAGACATACAAAAAAACAGGAAAATTTAATAACAAGGAAAACATGCAGTTAATGGAAGGCAAATTGAAGTGATGCAGATGTTCACATTAGCTGACAAAGATTTTAAAATAGCTATCATAAATATGTTCAAGAATTTAAAAGAAAACGATATCAAAAGGAATAAGCAGATATGGAATCTCAATAGATAAGTGAAATGTATTAACAAAAATAATGAAAACTCCAGTAATGAAAATTATATCTGAAATTAAAAACTTACTGCATGAATTAAAGATTGGAGATAGCAGAACAACATTCAGTAAACCTGAAGACAGAGAAATAGGGATCATCCAATAAAAAGAACACCTGAGTTTTTACATGTCAATTTATAAGATATTCCATTAAACTGGAGCCATATCTAGAAAGTTCTTTTGTATTCCTTATGCTCTTTGTGTGACTATCATGGGATTATATCTTTAAATTCTTACAAGCTCTATTGTTTTAAAAAGATATCTATATATTTATATCTATATATATCTACAAAAAGATATATTTTTATATCTATATGTATTATGTATATGTATCTATATATAGTATCTATATATATGGTAGATAGATACATACATACATACATACATACATACATACATACATACATACATACTCTTGCTCTGTCTCCCACGCTCAAGTACAGTGGCAAGATCTTGGATCACTGCAGCCTCGGCCTCCTAAGCTCAAGTAATCCTCCCATCTCAGCCTCCTGAGTAGCTGGGACTACAAGCATGAGCCATCAGGCATGGCTAATTTTTGTATTTTTTGTAGAGACGGAGTTTCACCATGTTGCCCAGGCTTGTCTCCTGGGCTCAGGCAATCTGCCTGCCTTAGTTTCCCAAAATGCTGGGCTTATAGGAGTGAGCCACCTTACCTGGCCAAAAGATAATCTTTAAAGCCAAAGGTTTTAGGTTTTGTTATGGCAGTGCCCATTTCTAAAACCAAAATGTAATTTGGATAACTATTGCTGTATAACAAGCCATCATAAAACTCATTCCCTTAATAAAACAATTACTATATCCCTCAGTTTCTCTGGGTCAAGAATTTGGAAAGGCTTAGCTGGGTGGTTCTGGTTTGTACTCTTTAATGGAGTTGTAATCAGACGACAGCTGCAGTTGTAGCAGTAAGGATCTGGCTGGCATCTCTTCCTTCATGTATCCTCAGGTTTCTCCAAGGGAGTCTTTTCACTTCGGTAGTTTGGGCTTGCTCAGGGCCTCAAGTGCGTATATTTAAACAAACAAAGAGGAAGTTTCATTGCCTTTTTATACGTAGCTTCAGAAGTTACATGGTATTAGTTCCAGAGTATTCTATTGGTTGCAACATGAGAAAGCCTTACTCAATTTTAAAAGGAGAGCACAAAGACTATATTTCTCAATGATAGTAGTGTTGAAGTCACATATGTAAGGAACTGTGGCATGGGAGGTATTGTGTATATCACTGTAAAACACAAACAGCCACAACTAACTTTTATACAATCTTTTACTTTTTATAAAAGACACCTATGCAAATCAGTGTGGAAAGCAAATGGTGCAGGAGCAACTTGATATCAACATGGAAAAAAATGAACCTCAATCTTCACTCTATACCATACACAGAAAATGATTCAAGATGGATCATAGACCAAAAAGTCAAAGCTCAGATACTAAAACTTCTAGAATATAACATGGAATAATATCTTTGGAACCTCAGAGTAAGCAAAAATGTCTTAGGACACAAAAACAATAACCATAAATACTTTTTAAACTAGATATCAGCATAAGTGAAACAAAATTCTGTTTACCAAAGACATCAATAAGAGGAATAGGCAAGCTACAAAATATTCACAAAATATATCTGAGCAAAGATTTGAATCCAGAATACATACATGCATACATACATATATACACCTATATAAAACAATTTATATAGGTGTATATATATGTATTTATATATGTATATACATATGTAAATATATACCTATATAAATTGTATATGTATATATTTATGTATATATTTATATAAATATATATAAATATATTATAATATATAAATATACATAAATATATACATTTATATAAATATATATAAATATATACATATATAAATTGTATATGTATACAATTGTATACATATGCAATTATATATACAATTTATATAGGTATGTACATATATGTATTTATATATGTATATGTGCATATATACATATATAGTTTTATATATCTCTCTCTCTGAAACAAATTGATAATAGAAAACAAGTTTATATAGGGTAAAGTACTTATTCAGACACTTCACAAACATATTCATGACAAATAAACACTTAAAAATGCTGGACCTCATGAGTCATTGGGTAAATACAAATTAATATTACAATGAAATACTCCTATATATCTGTTGGAATAGCTAAAAACATGAAACACTGACTATATCAAATATTTGTGAATCTGTGGAAAAATTTAAGCTTGGAAACATTGCTAATGCAAGAGTTAAGTTGGAAAATTTTTTTGGTAGTTTCTTATACTATTAAACATGCACTTACCATTCATTTGAAGTTCTAGAACAGGCCAAACTAATCAACGGTTTAAAAATATGATAACAGTTGCCTTTGTTGTTGGGGGGCAGAGAGGATTGACTGAGAGGGGCATGAGAGGAAATTTTCTGAGAGTATAGAAGTGTTTTCTATCCTGATAGGGATGTTGAATGCCTAAGTGTACAGATTTGTCACAACTCATTAAATTGCACATGTAAGGTCTGTCCATTTGACTATATATAATACTGCCTTAAAAAGAAAAAGAATAGAAAACAAATATTAAAATCCAAGGAATAAAAAAAGATATGGAAAGTTTGAACTAAAGGAATTGAAGACATAAAAAGGGAAACTCCGGTTTCTTTAATACAGTGAATATCACAGAAACACTGCATTGACAAACGTGGGTAATGCAAACATCACACTTGCAAATAAATTTTAATAACTGATAATATTCACTGAAGATTCATATTGAGCAAAACATTGGCATAAGGACTGAGTGTGAATTATCTCATTACCTCTCTGTGAGATGAGTATTATCACCCCTTTCTTATGTATGAGGATACCGAGATACTGAGAGATTGAGCAGTTTGCCAGGATCACAAATTTAATTCGTGGTTCAACTCCTGAGTCAACCCCAGTCTACTTACAGCCTAGGATGCTAGCCCTGTCTTGCTCACTGTAGACATAAGTATTTCTTTCCTGAGGCATTTACCTGTCATAGTGAATAAATATACAGAATCATCATGCTGATATTTGACCAAAACTGATTATGTGATTTTCAACTGTAAACATTAAATGAAGTTGAAGAAGATTACATGTACTCTTTAAGATCACTGGGTAGCCAAAAAGATTATTTGATTTTTGTAGGATTTTATGCCCTTTGCTAAACTTATTTTTTTAAAGTCAATTGTGATAAATTGTCTTTGTAATCAAAATTTCATAGAAAAGTGATTATTAATATTAAATCAAATATATAAATTATCATCTGAAAATAATAGCTTGTATTAATGTATGTTTTTGGCCTTAGAGCCAACTCTGTAAGGATTAAAAATCTTGTTTTATTTATCTTTCTCTAAATTTTCATTCATCTCAGCCCTTATTCTTATATATAAGGAGAATTGATATGTTTTTCTTGGATTAAACGCAAAAAGCTCTACGCTTTTGATGCTTCTTATATTCAGTATTCGTTTCAAATTTATAATTTTTTCAGATGTTTTAGGTTGTCTGCATGTCAAAGGCTGGTAATCAGAAGCAGAGACTGAATGCAGGATAGAAATCCTAGATATCTTCCAACACACCCTCAGCACACACCCATACTTCCCTACCAGCTCTCCAGGGCTACTATGAGTCATTTCTAGGTTGTATGCTAATAATAGAGTAGTCACCTTTGTTAAGAGAATTATTGATAATCCTTTGCTGCTCACAGCACACCATTTTAAGGAATGCTGAACCATTTTAAAGAATGCAGAGTCTTCATTTTGGAAATCACAATTGTTCAACACTATGAAGCGTATATTTCCCATTCACTTCCAAAAATTTCAAGTTTTCCTATCTACCTCTTCTTTATAAAATCAAGCACTTTAGAAGTAAAGTAGCTCAAATCCTGCCATACCACCTTTTAAAACTCTTTTCCTGAATTTTAAAAAGCTATGACACAAAAATTACCATTAATTTTGTGTTATGGTGGGGCAAATTGCTTATATACCACGTTCCTGCTTCTGAAGTAAGAATCACAACATTCCCTTGACATTTTCATTTTGTCTCTCATGACAACTTATTGACTTGAGATCAGCTGGCACTAACCTTTGCTTAGATAGTATTGAGAGTCTGAAAGGTTATTCTTGGGCACTAACACACTGGTAGAATGTGAGGTTAAAAATAATCAGCCAAAATAAAAAATAATATTGGTTTTAAAAATAATTAACTTTTATGGGCATAAAATTAGCTTTGTTTTCTTTGCTTTCCATAATTCATACCTTCTCAGTGTAAACCCAAGTTGCAGGCAGTATCTCTGGTAGTAGTTAGCTACTTGGAATAGCTGCAAGATAATATTAACGGATTTCTTTCCTTTTTTCTCTTTCTTTCTTTTTTTTCTTTTTTTGAGACAGAATATCACTCTGTCACCAGGCTGGAGTGCAGTGGCACGATCTCGGCTCACTGCAAACTCCACCTCCTGGGTTCAAGCGATTCTCCTGCCTCAGCCTCCCGAATAGCTGGGACTACTGGCGCGTGCCACCAAGCCCAGCTAATTTTTGTATTTTTAGTAGAGATGGCGTTTTACCATGTTGGTCAGGATGGTCTCCATCTCTTGATCTCGTGATCTGCCCACCTCGGCCTCCCAAAGTACTGGGATTACAGGCATGAACCACCGCGCCCGGCCCATTGAGGAATTTCTTAAAGTATTTCTTAAACAACAATAGAGTTGTAATAACCATTTTATCCAAATAATACTCTTTAATGAAGACTTAACTTAGAACCTCTGAATCCATAGGAGCTTGGTTGTTTGATTCTATTGTTGTGCAAAGAAATTTCCCTTCAGTTCATGTGGCGAATTCTCGCATATTTATGACTACCAAATTTTTTTCCTGAATAATAAGTAAGGAATCATGGAGGTCAGAATGTTCTATATTTCCAGGTTTCGTATTATATGATTATTACTATAAATATTGTCCTACAAATTGGGCTTCTCATAGTGACTTCTACAGTTTACGCTGCAATTGTAAAAATAATTTTTGAGAGATGATCTTCTTAAATTGCACAATAATGTATTTTCTATCTCGCCATCATCACTAAGGACTTTGAATGTGTTGGGGATATTTATACTCAGGAATCACTGGTGTCTGTAATGTTATTTGTTTGGAAAACTCCAGAAGATGAGATAGGTATAAGTCATCAGCAAGAAAAGTAACTCATCTAGTATTTACCATATATTCACCCATTCTACAAATATGTAATAAGGAATCATTATTTACCAGGCATTGTTTTAGATAAAAGTCATTGTCTCATTTGAACTTATTTTTCAGTTAGGGAGACAAACAGTGAAGAAGCAAACAAACAGGTGAATATCATTTCAGACAGTGCTAAGTGCTATCAAGGCTATAAAGCCAGAGAATGACTGGGCCCAGGTACACTATTCAGACTTTATCATGTATAAGTCTCACAACATTGTTTTTATACCCATTGTTTTCATACCTATTTTATAGATAAGATACTTGAGGCTCAGACCCTGAATCTCTTGCCCAAAAGCAAAAAGCTATTAAATAGCACAACCAAGCTGTGTGCTTTTATTTATCTAGTTCAAGGCCCATGTTATTGTCAACTTGCCATGCCCTTGAGGAAAACATTGCATTTTCAAGAGGATAAATATTAAGATATAAAAAATAACAAGGTTTTACCATTAGTTCTTTAGCAGCAAGCTATTTTCAATAACTTCTAATAGCAGTAATTATGTTTTGAACCTCCCACATTTCTTAAACGTATATTCATTGACAAGAAAAACTTCAAAATTCCTTTTTGAATTTTTATTTGCCTATCTTATAACTAGGGATTAATGTATCTGATAGAATGGTTCTTTGTTTAATCAGAATTTTCTAAAAAATGAATAAGTAAGGCTATATCTTTTTCTGTAATTTACAAATTATTTAGCTGTGAAATTAAGCATGTGTCTCAAGTAGAGATGTCAGTTATTAACTCATCTAAACTTGTTTGATTTGTTTGATTTGTATTGATTTGTTTTGATACATCTAATAATATGTATTTTATCTGGATTCAGTATGATATAGCAGTGAATTATTTAGCAAGATGGAAAGTGACCAACACTATGGAGAAAAATGAATCAAGACAGGGAGCTCAGTAGTGGTGGGTATGTAGTAATCAAATATTGTGGTCAGGAAAGCGCTTACTGAGAGAATATTTTCACAAATGCTTAAGCTAGTCATGCAGATATCAGGAATATTTTTGCAGAAAGAACATCAAGTGCAAAGGCCCTGGAGTGAAAGTGTGTCTGGCATGTGTAAGGATCCTAAAGAAGATGGTATGGCTAAACAAATAGTGGGATGGGAGAAAGAAGAAAATTGACTAAATAGACAATTAACAGGAGAGAGGAGGGATTAGATCTTCTACTGCTGGCATTTAGTCTGAGTATTATGGGAATCCACTGGAGAATTTTGAGCACAGTCTGACATGATCTGACTCTCAGAATAATAGAATCATTCTGATTTCTATGTTGACAATACACAGAAAGAAAGAGATCGAGAAATAGGGAGCCAAGTTTGAGGCTATTGTAATAATTCATGTGAGAATTAATGGTCTGTGGCACAAAGTGATAGGAGTGGATACACAAAGATAGAGCCAACAGGATTTGCTGATGAGCTGAATACAAAGTGAGAGAGAAGTCAAAGATGACTCCATGGCTTTTGTGGTTTTGTTTTGTTTTGTTGTGGTCTACAGGTGGAGCTACCATTAATTAAAGTGGGAAATACTGTGGAAGAAGTCGTTTTGTGGGAAGATCAAGTGGACATATTTTATTTGAGAAGGGTATTAGACACCTAAGTGAGATGCCAAGAAGGCATTTGAGTACATATATAACCCTGAAGTTCACGGAGATGTCAATTGGAGATATGAGTTTGGCCATTAACATATAGAAATTTTTAAATCTACAAGACTGTGAAATAATTAAGGGATGAAGCAGAATTCAAAAGATTGGCTTCTGGTATACTATCAAGTCAGGAGATCAGAGAAAGGAAGAATTAACTGCAAAGTGAACTGAAAAGGAATGCCCAGGTATATAGGAGAAAAATTAGGAGTTCTAGTATAGAAGTTGTTAAATGAAAAAAGTAAAAGGAAAGAGATAATCAGTGGTGTCAAAGTCAGCTAATATGTCTAGAGAGATGACAACTAAAAAGTAACATTAAATTTAACAGACCTCACTGTTGACTTTGATAAAAGCAGCATGTGAGTGTGACAGCCAAAGCCCGATTAAGATGGATTCTTGAGAGCATGGGACTGGAGACATTGACTATAGATAATTCTCTTAAGGAAATTTTTGACAATTGTGATATAGGCATTAGCTGGAGAAGCAAAGAGATCAAGAGACTTGTTTTAATGCAAGAAATAACAGCATATTTGTATTTTAATTGAAATAATCTAGAAGAAGAATAATTGGTAATACAGGAGACATGCCGGATAATCTACACCTTATTGAAGACAGTATTGATGAGATTATTTTTCCTAAAAACAGGGTACATTTAGAACATGTATTAATAAAAGTGGCTTATTTTGCATAATAAATGCATCTTGTTCATTATCAGTTGCAACTGTTATCTAGAAGGAAAGCTAGGTTAAACATAAAAAAGTTTTCAAGGAGGAATGTTTAAGTATGATATGATACAGGCTGTAGGCACTATATATGTTTAGGAGATTAATATGTAAAGATTTGGAAACAGAAATCCAGAAAGATTAAATAATAATGCTAGGGTCACATAAGTAGATAATTTAAAAAACTGATGTTCAGATCTAAGCCCACTCTTTTTTAGTAAAATTGTGTTTGTATTATTAATACAACTTACCTGTATGCAACCCCTTTATATGATAATAATTGCAATCCATTTAACATTGTATATGGAACATTGCTCTAAACATTATTGGTCTATGGAGCTTCACAGAGTGGTGGAAGTGACAAAATAATATAAGGTAATATATGATGCACTATTGCCATGCAAACATACAAGAAGCCTTCCTGGAATTAAGAAGATACATAAAAATCACTAAGGGCTACAGTGATCATCTATGTTCTCCTAGCAGGGTAAAAGAGAGCTCAGCCTTGAGGCACTTGGGTTGTGTCTTTGTTTTTGCATAAATGTGGAAATAATTTTAGAAAGGGCATGGTTTGTCTAAAGGCAATTTTTATTGGGATAAAATCCAGTCAATTATGTTTTGGTGGAAAACTCTTTTTGAATAGATCTTGTAAGCAATTGGTTTACTATTCTATAAACTATTGAGGAGCAAAAGTTTTTATGTGCAACTGCTCATTTCATAATTCAACTTCCCTAAATTTGTCTCTAATTTCTTGAGCCTTATTAAAGGAATTTTCACAGTGAGATTTTTCCGTACATGTGTATGAATATAAATTCAATGACAGTTTTAAAAATAATGTCCTTAGGTCTTTTTTAAACAGAAGATTTGAAAAACACTTCTCTGATTTCTTAAGAACTAGTAATATACAGTTTGCATTTTTGTAATAATCCTTTAAACATACTGCTTTAATCCAACTAATTCAAAAGAGGCATAAATTAGAACGAAAGTCCTTTTTATTTATAAAGATGGTCATAAAGGGGTTTATTTGACTAAAGCCACAGTGAGCCAGAAACAGTTTGGAAATTAAGATAAATACTTCAGTAATCCCGATGGAGTGGTGAAGTAGAAGAAGCAATAGAAGTGAACCTGTCGGAATATTCAGTGGAAATATAAGTAGAGACCTTTTGAAAAAGAATCTTGTTTATCTAAGTAATGCTAAACATTAAAATATAAAATATAGCTGTAATGGGTGATGGGGCTTAGAATTAGAAGATAAAGATAGGTTTGAGCTCTTTCTGTCACATGAACAGTCTATGTACCATTAGAATAATTAATTGTCTTTCTGAGTCTAGGTTTTCTCATCTGGAAATTAAGTTCTTCTTGGGGATCAAATTAAATAATAAATGGGAAAGTTCCTCAGATGTTACAAACCACAAAATGGAGGTTGTGACAGATTTCAAAGACAGACCATACATGTTTTTAATTAATTGAAGGAATATATGAAGAAAATTTAAGGTATTTAAGAATATAATTGTAGTTGAGCATCTTGGGTAGAATTTTTGCTACCACAGATAACAGCAAAGATATTTGAAATGAAAGTCTACAATGCGTCCTCATCTTGACACCTTTTTTTTTCAAGTAAATGCATGTTAAATTATTGTACTTCACTTCTTTGTATGAAAAAAAAGCTGAGGGGAAAAAGCTTATATATCATTGGTTTAAACTAAACAGGTCATTGATCACTTCTAGCAATTAAGGAATAAGCTAGTTAGAGATGTACAAATTTGACCAATTTAGAATTGTAACAGAAAAAAATACTGTGGCCACATTGCATAAATTAACACACACCACGAGGTAAAGGTTTGAGAGAAATTCTAGTGTGAGGAAGAATGAAGGAATTCAGCTCTTTAATGCAGGCAAGCTGAGAATAACAGGGGCACAGTGTATTTTAAACCTTTCTACTCCAGGTGTGGTTCAAGCTGCAGTTGTATCAGCAAAATCTGAAATCTTGTTTGAAATGCAGAATCTCAGACATACTCTGTGACTTCTAAACAAAAACATCTGTATTTCAACAAGAATCCTCGAATGCATGTTACACCCTGAAAAGTAATGTTCTAGGGTTCCCATGATTCATGTGAGAATATGAAGATTAGAAAAGGAACCCCTTGTGACTGCAAAGCATTATCACAATTGGGTCTCTAAATAGCACATTAACTTCTCTAAATTATTAATAAGATGGCAATAAATCCTGATTTAGATCAAAGGTAGATAAACCAAGGCAAACAAAAATCAGTAGTTTAAAATACTGTGAGTTAAAGCTTTATTAGACTTATGTATAAGAGGTGGTGTTGAAATACAGAAATGATTTAGACATTATTTTTATCTTCAAGGGCTTCTAGTGTTTTTAAGGGACAAAATAAATAGACAAAATAATTGCAAAAATACCAGTGCCATAGTATAAATAAAACCAAAATTTTAAAATTATTTAGAAGAATTTGGATATGAAATTGAACTTTGAGCACTGGAGGAAGTTTAAAATTTATTCAATGAAGCATATGTTGGTATTGGAGTATTTTCATCATGAAATTGACCTAATTTAATTGTGATTGGGGGAAAATGAAATAGGCAGCATCACGTGGGAGAGACTGGTGGGAGAGCAGGTGTAGCAAAAGATAATTTATGAACCTGTTACAGTAATTTAGAGAAGTAGTAATATGGCGGGCAGTAGGAATAAATATATTCAAGAACGGAGAATAGAAAACTTGCTTGATAAAATCTATAAGGCTTTAAATTTAGCTGGATGTTGTGTGAGGGGGGTTAAACAGACTTAAAGTGATGGATTATATAAACAGAGGAAAGAAGAGTAAGGAAGAAAAACTAAAAGTGATTCAGAAATGTTGAGCCTGAGGATTAGATCATTTCATTGAAGTCATTAAAATCAATGAGATCAGATGATTGGAGGAAAAATTGACAATACGTAGCAAGCTGTGGCAAATTCTAAACTGCAACACTTGGGAGAGATGATGGGGTTGTGGGTGTGTATTTTGAAGTCATCAGCAGAGAACTAACAATTTATGGGAGAGAAACTAAGGAAGATAATGTAAAAATGGAAAGCATTTTCTCATTGCTTATACCTGCTGAATAGTACCTGAAATCGAAGAGAACAATATTACATGATGATATTTTTAAATTTCCCTCTTGAAAGTGTATGTGCAAGTTCTGATGCAAATTCTCTGCACACCTTTACCAGATGATGCTCCTTGGGCAAGTGATTAAGAACTTTCATCTGGAGAAAACCTAGAGAAAAGTCTCACAGATGATTGACATTTATTTGTTTTAGATGAAAAGCCAAACTGAAATTTTCTTGAATCTATGAAAATTGAATTTTAGATAAAATGTCACACTGAGTGCCCAGTATGAGCAATGATCAATGATCAGTTTTACACATATATACACACACATATATATATTCTGGCAAATTATTTTAAATTTCATAATACCGAGAGAGGGTGTGATTTGAACAGCTTCCAAGAAAAAGAGAAGACACATTCAAAGTCTTGGAAATACAAATGGTGATATGGTGTGACTGTGTTGCCACCCAAACCTCACCTTGAATTGTAGTTCCCGTAATCCCCACGTGTCCTGTGAGGGATCTGGTGGGAGGTAATTGAATCATGAGGGCGGTTTCCCCCATGCTTTTCTCCTCTTAGTGAGTGAGTTGTCATGAGGTCTGATGGTTTTATAAGCATCTGGCATTTCCCCTGCTTGCACTCATTTTTCATCCTGCTGCCCTGTGAAGAGGTGGCTTCCACCATGATTGTAAGTTTCCTGAGGCCTCCCCAGCCATACGGAACTGTGAGTTAATTAAACCAGTTTTTCTTTATAAATTGCCCAGACTCGGGTATTTCTTCACAGCAGTTTGAGGACAGACTACTACAGATGGCATGAGACATCTCAGCTGTGACTGTCACAATTGAGAAGTTTCACATATGCCTTTTAACATTATTTTTTGATATACATATACTTGATTTTAATAGAATTAATTTTATAAAACAATATTGTTATAAAATAATGTTATCTGTTTTATATTACACACATAACTTTTTGCTTTATTCCTTAATTTATAGTGATCTTAGTTTGAGGAATTATTTGTCTTGTCATATTGTCGTATTTGTCTATTACTTGGAGTCAATAATAGATGTTGTATTAAGTTAAGACCTTCCGATGTTTTCTACATTAAATTTATATACTTGATTGAAACAAATACCAAATATGTGTGACATGGCGTTTAATTTTAAACATTCTTTGTAACTTGAAGAAGGAGAAATTCTGAATAACTTGAAGGAAGCTATGAAGCAATTGTAAAAGTAGTATCAATCGTGCTCAGAATGATACTCTCAACTTTTTTCCAGGAAGTTTATTCCATCGTGACATTGCTTTTCTGGAAATGTACTAGATATTTATAATACTAACTTTTTTACAGGTCAATAGGAAAAAAGATCCCAGCAAAGCTTTTGAAAATTTAAAAGGACTCATTCAAAGTATGAATTTACTCCGTAACTATAAATGATAAATCTCACAATGATGGATTATATAAAGCATCCACTATTGAAAGCTGGCCAAATAAGAACAAAATGTAATTTAAAAGTATGGATGTGATAGAAATGTGACCATGAGTAATTGCCACACTCCTACTCCACAACCTGTCTTGGCAAGAACACAGACCCCATGACATAATAAGCTTAATTTGTTTCTAATTTATGTTTCCCTATGTGATATCATCTGTTTTATTATTGATATAGGTAATGTTCTAAGACCAATGAACAGAATGATCTATAACATTCCATCACAGAAAAGCAAGAGAATTTGATTTGTTTGTGTTCTTTCTGATTTGGACTTGCATTTGCAAGGAAATAATGGTTAGTGTGGATAGCTTAATGATATCTAAGAGAGCATAATAATAACATAATATTCACCTGCAATTTTGAAGCAGTCTTTTGTAGGGCTTTTAGATTTGACTAATATTTTTTCTTTATATGCTTTGAACAATTAGCTTTAGAGACTAAATGTACACAGTGGAGAATCATAGGTATTTTTGTGTTGCTAAAGGGGAATTATGAGTTATCTTGATAAACAGAACGTTTTCACATGATCTCAAGCCTCAGAAAGCATATTGGAGGTCAGCTGATGCCAAGTTAAGATGAGCTAATTTTCCCAATGTTAAATCTAAGAGAGAATCCATGCCTTGCCTTGGACAAAAAGCTGTAGTATTTCTGGAAGTTATGGGCAGAAGCTTTGAAGGCACTCCATAGAAATGATGCTCTGATACTAACTCAGCATAAAAAGCCCTGGAACTTTAGAGATCAGAGGAGAAATGCTGAATTTAGGGGGAAGGCAGAAATAGAAAGGATGCTGAAAGGCTTAAAGAGAAACGTTTTTACTTACACAGCTTTGTAGAGAATACATTGGAGATCTGACTATACTAAAGAAACATGAGAATAGCCCTACTGATAAAACTGCTATTTCCTGAAGGAAAAAGAAAAGTGGGCAGGGCAATAATTTGTGCTGAATATCCTGAGATGGCAGGGAAAGGTGACTGTATTTTGATCTGGATCTATTTTTAGTTGTGAAGTTTCTCTGCTGAGGAATTTTACTCCCTAGATTGGAATACATTGGAAGTTAAGCTTCTCCAAAGCTGATTTTCTTTTTAGCCCCATGAATTTCTGTCTTTCATAAAATGTTCTTTAAAGGATGTGGGAAGCATTTTTTTTCTTTTCTTTTCTTTTCTTTTTTTTTTAATCTATGTAGTCTTCTCGTGAGAGAAACTGACAACTCCACCCAGTTCGGGATCTCTGGCAATAAATGCAAGATTTCAAGGTTATAGGATCTTGTTCATTTAACACTCAAATACTGAGGAAGTCTGTGTTGCTTAATCCTAAATTTATTAGATTCAATATGACTCACCACTCCCTTCCTTTCTGGGGTGAAGAGGAAGAATATAGACCATCGGGTCAAATGTTTCCCCAGGCTGAATGAACAATTGTATTAAGGGACACTAAAAGGGAGATACAAAGAATTATTTTTAGAACAAAACTATTTCAAATAAGAGCAGAGATTACCTAATCCTTATCCTTCCCCTTAAATAGCAGAGCATCTGGCTATCAATTAGGAGATTCATTTTATTAGGCTTGCTAAAGGAAATATAGATAAAAAGATATTTCCATTTTACTATTAGAGATACTTAATGGTCTACTATGTTATATGGTTGTCCTTTGTCACAAGTATATTTTCATTTTTGTTGTGGATGAACATTTTCTCTCCACTAGGCTGTGAGTTCCATGAGGACAGGAGTGTGTCAAACTTGTAATCAATGTCTTTCCAGCATGTGCAGATACCTGGTATTCTTAGATGAGTCAGTCATTGCCTGCAAAAGTCACATTTTGGGAGGGTAGTGACTCACTTTCTTGTGCTAGCAATTGGAAATTATTTTAAATATGATTACTAACTACATGTGGAAAACATATATTTCTCCCTGTGACTTCTGGTAAGATATCAAGAGGTGTTAATAAAGACAAATGAAGAAACTCTTCAAAAAATGCACACATACATACAAACGTGAAAATTTCATGTTGTTTATATGAAATTCGATCCTCGGAACCATTTCATTGTCCCATGGTGGTTTACTGGTACTGGGTCAAGAACATCTTCTCTGTGTCATCCATCCATCAAAATTTGTAATATGCAATGATTTCTATATTTAAGCAAGTAGATAAATAAAAAATCGTGTCCTTGCTTCATTAATTTTGGAAATAATGAGATTGTAGTTTTTTCCAAAACTGTGTTGCTAGAACAAAAGTGGGAATTTGAACATCTGGGTGATTAAGATTAGAAACTGGGAACAAGGTAATAGGAGAATGCACTGCTAAAAGGAACAGTGAAAAAGAAGAATTATGGTGGATTAGGTCAAAGGTTTAGGGAGATAAAACAAAGGAGTCATTTAGGACCTAGAGGTAAGTGCTGCTGACATCCCGAGGAAGGGTGGGGCTGTTTAACCAAGCACAGAGCTGGCCTCCTCTCAATGGCACGTGTGAAGCAACACACTCACCCTTTTACCCAAGGGGAAAAATAAAAAAACAAAGTTCCTGTCCAAAAAGCTTTAAAACTATGGACAATCTCAAAAATCGCATGCCCAAGAATTTCCAGTTTAGAATTTTTTTTAAAAAGCTCTGAAGTGTATTGCCAAATTATTATTATTCAACTTTGATGAGTTTGAACCCAGCAGAGCCAGCATCCATTTCTGATTTATGAAATCCACTGAGTGTCTTAGCTTTACGTGTTAAGATACAGGCTCTAAAATTACCAATTTTTTTTCTGTTTTGGTTGATAATCCTGTGGAAACAAAAATGACTTTGCTTGGTTTGGCAGAAATACAAGAAAGATAAGCTGGTTGGAAAAGAGGGAACTTGTTCCAATCCCTGTCCCAAAGTCTTTTCATAATGTGTGTGTCAGCCTAAGAAATTTTAATATGTAATGCCTAAATCTAATTATTTAATTTGGCTACAATGAATTGTTGAAGGATGTTTAATCGTTTTGCTGCTAGCATTGTCACAGGGCAATGTTAAATCATTTGGAAATGATAATACCCCAGGTTAGTCACTGTTTTTTCAGCTGTTTTTTCTTGTAAAGTTGGTTTGAAACTAAACCCCATAGAATTGGTTATGATGAAAGAAAATAAAGCAAGTGGCTATATCAACTTTATATTTATTTTTCTCACTGTGTAAGTAAAGACAAAAAAATGACATAAACAGCTCTTAAACATTTTCCTCCTCTCATTGCCGTAATTCAGGGATTCACCATGTTTCAGAACCTCTGGATAGTCTTCCTGACCCCACCTTTCCCCATTCTCATCCACTTGGATAATTTAGCCAGACTTATCTTTGTAACACTCAGCTATAGTTGTTGCCACTTTTCTGAATAAAACATTTTAGTAGCTTCAAATCACCTGCATAATAACCAAAATCTTCAACCTGCCATCATAGGCTGTAATCATCTAGATGCTGGCTTTATGTCTAGTCTCACTTATTTCCACCCAACATAGTCCCTATATTTCAGCAGAGCACATTTCCTCAGTCATACAAACAATTATTAAGCACTGAATTTGTCTCAGACTCTGAGCTAGGTGCTGGGAATTCCAAAATAATTACACCATGGTCTTTGCCCTGACACAGGTCACACTCCAGAGTAGGAGACATAGTAGAAGTGCAGTATGTACGTGCAACCTGGAGTAACATGTGTTCCTGTACAGCCTAGTGTTCATTCTGCCTGGAACAAATTTTTCTTTATGTGTTTCCTCTCAAAATTCTATCTGTCTTTCAAGGCTGTGCTCAAATATCACCTCCTTTTAGAAGGTGATGTATAATTAATTATTTGAAAGGTTTAACATTTTATATATACTTCTATTAGAATTTATTTCACGTATGTTGTGTTTTATATACATAACTGGTTCCACACTGATCTGTGAGCCCCTTGCAGACAAGGCTCACTAATCTCACGACCTTAACCCCATACTCAACACTTAATACACACTAAATGCTTATAAATATTTGTGGATTTAATAGCATTTTAATATTATTCCATTATCATAAAAAATGCAGAGATGTTCTTATCTTACTAATTCTGATTTAATGGAAGATAAGATACATGCTTTTTAAATATATCTTATTTGGCCCAAAGTAGAGTTTAATAATCATACTCAAAACAATATTTATTGACTTTTCCTATCTACCAAGCATGGTTCTAAGAACTTTATATAAATTACCTCCTTGAATCATCATGAGAACTATATGAGTTGGGAAATATTATGATTTCCTTTTTATACATTTGGTATAGACTTTTAAAAATACATCATTGTTATTATAATGACTGATAGATACATAGCACTTACTATGTGCCAGACACTATTCATAATGCTGATCATGCATTAACTCGTTTATTCCTCACACCAACATGGCTTATCACATCATTTCCGGTTTTATCCTCACTTTACAGATGAGGAAACTGAGACACAGAGAGGTTAAGTGACTCATTCTAGATTGCATAGCCAGTGAGTTGGGAGGCAGGATAATGCCCTGGTGGCCTGAACCTAAAATTCATATTCTTACTCATTATGAGAAGTAATATTTCATTTTGTAATTAACAATGCAATGCATGGTTCAAAATAATTGAATATTATTCATAGGCACTTGAAACAATAAGGATTTCGATTGTATAAACTACTTACTCTACTAGTTGGGTCAAAATAAACCCCTGGGAATGCTTTTACATATTTTTGATTTTGCTGATTTCAGTCTTAGTTAAATAAGGGAAATTGCATGGAAGACATAGAATTGCCTGATTGAAATAAGGTTTGTGTGAAATGCATTATCTTGTTAAGGCTTTAGATTATATTTGTTTACCTTTTATCTTGGTTCCATTCTTCTCAGTTCTACTTTACAATCAGTATGGCGTATTTGTTGGATATTATCCCTGCATTCGGAACTGCTAAAATATATTACACCATTGGGTCTCTAGTCTGAAAAATGATTGAAGTTGTATTTAGCTTAATAGAAAAATAATTAGTATCAATTTCAGACTTCTATCCAATACACAAAGCATGATCCATAAATGTTAGTAAGACATTTATGTTCAGTAAAGTCACGCTCATTTGAGATTTCAAATATCATGTCTTCTTCAGCATACTGCCTTTTGCTTTGTAAAAAACTAAGATAAAACCCAGCTTAGAAACTAAGAGAAATAACATTTAACCGTTATAAAGTAGAAAAAAAGAAGGAAGGAAATGCTAAAAAATATGAAATAATAATAAAGCCCATTGTTGATAGACGGAATATATGGCCATTATATTTAAGGGACTCAAATATCATTTTTACAGAGGTTAGAACTGCCATGATACTTTTTAGAATTACCTTAGTGCCTATATCCTAGACATTATCTCTTTTTATCTTTCTCATCAATTAATAATAGGCTACTTTTAAATAATGAATTGGTTAAAAGTCAGATAGCATATAATGGGCTTTAATAAAATGATGAATATTATTACCTTATTAGCATTCAGTATTCTAGGATTTAAAAAATAAGATAATATCGTAAGTACTTGAGGTAAAATCTAGTGAAAGGATTTGGATAACTTATAGGAGTCTGTGCATATCACAATTATAAATAAAACAAAGAATTGGGACCTAAAGAGAAGTGTCAAAAAAAAAAAAAGAAAAATCAACACTGAAGACTCCAATTCAATTATCAACTTTGCTGCTACGTAGTTTTGTAACTTTAGGGCATGTGACTTCACCTGAAAAGGATTAAAGAGCTTCATTTGTATAACTATGCATTTGCATTAATTTAATTTCAAGGTCTATTCTAGCATTAAATTTTTGATATCATTACTGGATTACTGGTTCAGGGTCATATCTCTTTCAGAGTACATTTTCTGGGATTCAGTTTCTTTCTTTACATCTTTCTGCACATATGAAATAGAAAAACTTCAATTCTCCAAACACAGGCATCAATCTAAATACTATCAAAATTAGGATGGGCGAAAGACAAGCTGCAGACTGGAGATAATATTTGCAAAAGATATATCTGATGAAAGACTATAATCCAAAATATACAAAGAACTATTGAAATTCAATGATAAGAAAACTAACAACCTAATTTTTAAAAATGGACAAAAGGCCTTAACAGACATCTCACCAAGGAAGATATACAGATGGCAAATAAGCGTATGAAAAGATTCTCCATATCATATGGCATCAACAAAATACAAATTGAAACAATAAGATACTGCTACACACCTATTGGAATGGCCAAAATCGAAAACACTGATACCACCAAATGCTAATGAAGATAGGGAGCAATAAAAATTCTGATTCATTGCTAGTGGAAATGCAAAGTGGTATAGACACTTTGGAAGGCAATTTGGCAGTTTCTCACAAATCTAAACAGAAGACCCAACAGTCATGCTCCTTAGTATAATATTTACTCAACAAAGTTGAAAACTATGTGTATTAGTCCATTTTGACACTGCTGATAAAGACATACCTGAGATTAGGTAATTTATAAAGAAAATGAAGTATAATGGACTCACAGTTCCACATGGCTGAGGCCTCGCAATCATGGCAGAGGGCAAAAGTCCTGTCTTACATGGTGGCAGACAAGAGAGAATGAGAGCCAAGTGAAAGGGGTTTCCCCTTATAAAACCATCAGCTCTCATGAGACTTATTCACTACCATGAGAACAGTATGGGGAAACCACCCCCATGATTCAATGATCTCCCACCGGGTCCCTCCCACAACATTTGGGAATCATGGAAGCTACAGTTCAAGATAAGATTTGGGTGGGGACACAGCCAAACCATATCACTATGTCCACACAAAAACCTCCACACAGGTGTTTATGGCTGCTTTATTCATACTTGCCAAAACTTGGAAACAACGAAGATGTCCTTCAGTAGGTGAAAATTTAAATAAACTGTGGTACATCCAGACAACAAAATATTAGCACTAATAAAGGATGAGCTATCAAGCCATGAAAACATGGAGCAAACTTAAATGCATATTACTAAGTGAAAGAAGCCAATCTGCAAAGGCAACATATGTATGGTTTAAACTATGTGACATCCTATAACAAGCTAAACTTTGGAGACAGTAAAAAAATTAGTGATTGCCACGGGGAGGGGTGGGGGAGAAGGATGAATAGGTGGAGCACAGACAATTTTTAAGGCAGTGGAAGTAGTCTATATGATACTACAATGGTTGATACTTGTCATCATTCCTTTGTTGAAATATATAAAATATACAACACCAAAATTAAACCCTAAACTATAAAGTTTGGAAGATTAATATGTGCCAGTGTAGGTTTATTGATTGTAATAATTATAACACTGAGGTGGGGGATGCTGATGATGGGAGAAGCTATGAATGTGTGGGGCAAGAAGTATACAGGAAATTTCTGTATCTCCCTCTCAGTTTTGCTATAAGCCTAAAACCGCTCCAAAAAAAGTGTATTTTTTAAAAAGTAGAAAAAAATGCTAAGAGATTTATGATACACTTGATTTGATGTTTACTTTGTATACATTAATTAATTTTATAGATTTGCAAATATTAATATATATAGATGCTTTAAATGATAATTTAAGAATGTGAACACAGGGTTGTAAAATATTTCGTATTTAATTTTTTGTATATTTACATGTTTTTTATTCATTTTAATACTGTGTGTTTTTCACACATAAATATTGTGTTAAGGTACAAATATAATATATTACATCTATTTCTAAATAATTACGTTGAAAACTGTAATTACATATAGCTATATTGGCCCTTTTATGCTGTATGTATTCATTTACAAAGTGGGACAATATGTATATTTAGGCAAGTAAATATTTTGCCTATTACTAATTCTTTCTTTCTTTCTCTTTCTTTCTTTCTTTTTTCTTTCTTTCTTTTTCTTTCCTTTTCTCTCTTTCCTTTCTTTTTCTTTCTTCTTTCTCTCCTTTCTTTCTCTTTCTTTCTTTCTTTTTTCTTTCTCCTTTCTTTTCTTTTTTTGCTTTCCATAGACTTGCTGCTTTCAAATAGCTGTATTCCCTTTTTGGGTTCATCAGAAGGACTGGATTTTCAAACTCTTCTCTTAGATGAGGAAAGAGGCAGGCTGCTCTTGGGAGCCAAAGACCACATCTTTCTACTCAGTCTGGTTGACTTAAACAAAAATTTTAAGAAGGTCAGTATATTTATATATACATTTGGTTAAATTCATTTATTTTCATCTCTCTTCTTCTCCCGTTTTGTTTTGCTTTGTTTTAAGGGACACAGTGTCAAATGCAGTGCATCACATACATGTCAAAAAGCAGCATAAAGAATATATTGCCTCTGATACACATTCTGGATTTTTATGGATTTAAGTACATATGCATGTTCTTTATTTAGAGTGAATAAATATAATAAAAGCTTTGAAAATATAAATGAAAACATAAAAAATTAGTTAATATACACTAGGCCATATAATAGAAATGGAAAGTTTGAGACTGAAGAAATGACAAATTAGTTATACATCAAGAATGAATATTTATATCCTAACAATAGTTGTAAAATTAAATTTTATTAACTTTCAGTTCACAAATAAGCATACTTTCAAATGATAATGTGGCTATAATAACAAACACCATACTGCTTTTTCCAAACTCTCATTTCACATCTGAACAGGTTTCTCCTACAAGTCAATCACTCTCAGCAAGTAAAGATAAATAATTCCCCAACTATGGGTTCATTAAGACAATCTCACCATGACAAAGAAACATACACTAGTACTTTAAAATTCTTAAGGCAATTACTACTATGTCCTACATTTTCAACCACCAGTGTGAAACCCGGAGGAAAGGGTGCCACACTTTAGACATTGTCTATTAACTAGTACTTTAGCAAATATCAATATCTATGCAAGCAGAGATAGATGCTAAGACTGGCAGAGATCGAGTGGCTGATAAGATTACATAATATCAGATCTCTTCTGCATCTTTGAAACATCTTCTATTGTCTTTTTAACCCATCTTTGTCAGAAGTATTGAAAAAAAAGATTAGGAGCAGTTGCACGGTTTAAATCCAATAGTTACCAATATTGAGTTCTTCTTCTTCAAAGAGAATTATTTATAGGCCATCCTAGGACTTTGGACTTTGAAGCTACATACAGTATTAATCTACAATGACCACTTTAACCCTCTAATTGTGAGATTTAATAGCCAAATATCAGTTGTTCAATTATTTTAGAATTATTTGTTCTCAGGGCTTTAGTCTACACAAAATATTTATCTTCATATGTAGTAATATTACTTCACTTCTGAAATAGAACAATGATATTTGGTTTTTAGTCAATTAACTTTTAAGTAATTCTTTCACACATTTTTAAGGCCTACCAAAGGAAAAGGAGTTATTTCTTATAAAGGCTCATACTTAATAAAGAAATTATTTCTGCAAATGTATACACATACATTTCATGTAATCTGTGTTTTTGGATGAAAAAATGAGGGCTAAAATACTGCTAGCAATTGTTTTTGACTTCTGTTAATCCAAACACACTAAAAACCTCATATGATTATCTTTAAAAAAATTAAAGTATCTGGTAGCCTGGATATTGTTTAACATAAAATAAAATAAGCAGTTGATTATGTACTAGAATTTGAAAGTTTGTCCTCCATTCTAATCTAAAATTATAGCTCCATTCCATTTTTTTCTTAAGGCTGTATTTTTTTCTTCAGGAATTTCTTTTAAAAATACTCATACTCCTAGTACGAGCCAATTGATGGCATCAAGTAACATCTTAATTTTCAGTAAATATCTTAGCAGGGGATGACGTGTTTTATGAAAGTGGCCAAGGAAAAAAATCTTAGCTAACTTTGCAATTTTGCTTTAAGAGATGCTGCATAGCTTAAAAGGCATTTTTTCCAAATATGTCTCAGTTTTACCATACTAGCAAAAAGCAATTCATACTTTTAAGGGAATTTGTTCTTGTTCTGTTCTCTGCCTTCAGGGATTGGAAGAAAAATTCCCTTTATCTGAACTGAGTGTATTAGATCATTGCTTAAAATAAATTCTTATAACTTCCTGCTGTGACTATTTTAAGCAAATCTCTCTTTGGCGATGTTCCATGCATGAAATGTGCTAATATTTTAAAAAGTAAATGTTTATGAAGTATCAATTTATCTTATGATATTATTAAAATAAAGTTGTTTGAATACATTATGAAATTAGATGTTATCTACATAACTGATATTTCTTTATATCTCTATAAAATGTATAATTCATAAGGGGATTATGTATGCAAAGGTAATAATTTATGTTATATAGGTATCCACCATTCCAATTTATATAAATCACTCTATTGCTAAAGATACTCCACAGTAGCACATAAGTGTCAAAATGCAGTACTTTAGGTTTAGACCCACTTGGTTTTCATTGGCTCAGTGCCCCTCGGCAAAGATCCAAACTCTTTTGCGGAGGAAACCACACATGTTGGGACTCTGAGGGGCTGAAGGCTGTCCTTTGTACTCTTTAGGGTTAAAGCAATCTACAACATATAATTGAGTTATCAGTGACTGGTTGGGATTTTTTTTTCCCTTGGAAAGTTAAAAAAAAAATCTGTAGAAAATACTCAATTGAAGTTAGCAAAATTTGCAATATATGTGAACTTGGAGGTTTTGTACAAACAAGGCTGTGCCTACTGAAAAAAAGGCCATTATCATTCATATTTGCCATGGGCATTTAGTGCAGAATCACCAGAAATTATAGCAAAATCCTTCACAAAATTCATTTTGTAATAATCATTTAATAATATCTTTTTACTATCTTTACTCTTGTTTAGACTAGATTTTGAGTCTACTAGAGTGAATAGCGCAGGTATATAATTAGTAAATATTTGACAAATAAATGATTGCAGAGGAAGAAAGTCAAAATTAATTAGATTTTTGGGGAACATTTCCACTATCTAGAAAATAAAAATTAAGTAGACTGAGTTGTTTTTTATTTCTTTGTTTTTTAAATTCTCTGGTATTAAAAGAAGATGGATGATATTATGACCTTTTGTCTTTTTTGAAAATTTTTTTGAGAGGAAGGACTATTTCTATAGGGACTTAGACTTAAAAGCAAGTATAAGCACACATTGCAAGGATGTGACACCTCACAACTTAACTATCCCGAAGCTTAACGATTCCAAAGTTGGTCCGTAAGGCCTCTCTTCGGCTAGGGAATACTCGTGGACTCCTTCTCTGGGACGGGGTCTGGAAAGATGATGCCCATTGATTTGACAGTCCATTCCCCCAACACTAGATCAAAATGGAACAATCAGAACCAGAAGTGATCACATTGTAAGAGAAGGACATGGATCAAGAACTGTATTTACCAGTTATGACACTTTTGTTGTAGGTTCAGTTTCTCCAGAAGCCAACTCTGAGATGAAGATTAGCTCATAAGTGAGTGTTCTTGGAATCAGCCCAGTGGGAGGAAAGCTAGGAAGCAGTATTAGGCAAAGGGAGAATTGAGCTGTGACGTAGCCCCAGCAAAAGCCTCAGCTGACAGGCCAAGCTGATAATGTGGCAAATATTTCAATATATTTTTCTAGTGTGAGTGATAATACCATTTTTAACTTAGTTTATCCTTTTCTCCTATCTAATCTGTTCACCACAACGGTAAGAGTTATCGTCACAAAATTAAAAGTCTGAATGTATCTCACTCACTTGTACAACTCTGGCAGTTTTTCTTAGGAACTTGAATAAACTCCAGGCTTCTTAGTATTGACTTCTAAGGCTCTTCCTAGCCCATTGCAACCCTGTTTCCAGTCTCACTGTTAACTATTCATTGTTCTCTCACATGCACTCTATTTTCTGCTTCTCTCTCCCCACCCTCTCTTTCTCCTTTACTCAAAGCACCCTGTTTATTCTTCATAAAATAGATAATTTACTATCAAGTTCTGTGTCTTTTCTAAAACTTCCTGGATTTCACTTTCTTGCTCATTTCACTGCTCTTCATTCTTGAAAGGCTTTATCGAATTATATTTTTTTCACCTTTTGCTCTCCAAGGCTTCACCTCACCCTCGGGAAATTTAAGTGTTCTTCACGTTTACAGGAGCATTTTATATATTTATGCCAATGTCAGATGTCCTAGCTGATAGTGTTGTCAGTATTCATTTGTGTCAGTATGCCTTCATCCACATTATACATTCCTTGAATAAGGGGATGATTTTTATGCACTTCTGATTCTCTTTTAGTGCATTGCACAATGTCTGATACATAAAATACACTAAGTAGTGTGTTTCTTTAAATTTTGAATTTGTGATTTTGTTAGTTTTCCTTTTTTGAGTAAGAAACCACTATATTACTTTTATCAATTAGCGTGGAATAGATAGCTAACAGAATAAAAGACACCTGAATTTGGCTTAAAAATAAGAAAATTTGTTATATAATATGAATATGTTCAGAGTTTGAGTGACTACAAAGATGAAAATATCATCTGCTTAATGATGTTATCGAGGACCCGGTTCTTTCTCTGTCGGCCACTCTTGGGATTGGCATTATCTTTAGGTTGGTAGCAAGATGGCTGCCACAGTCTTCATGGGTCACATCCAGACAAAGAAATACAAATGGAACAATAGATCATCACTTATATCTCTTTTTTAGGAGCAAAAAAACTTTGCAAAACCCTCTCTTTCATCTCGTTGGCCAGAAATATATTAGTTTCAACTCTCAAACTTGCAAGGAAAGGAGGGTAACTATAAGTTGCTGATATCAGTCACCTCAAGTTGAAGGAATATTTAGGAACGAAACACTTTGAATACTACACTTACAGAGGGAACAGAAAACAAACTTTCTTTAAAAATTAATTGACTTAGAAGACTGATTTTTTCTTTTTCAATTTAACAAAGGTAACCCAAGGGAAACATAAAAGTTTTCTCAGCCAAACAAAAAGAGGTATATATATTGCCTATTTGGAAAGACTTACAAAGATTAGCTAGTTCTACAAGAAAATTATCTGGAAGAATTTATTTTTCTTTCAGTAGATAGCCTTGGAAAGTATTTGTTTCCAGTATTTTTTTCATCTTGTGTAGTAAAAATTGAAAA
Source organism: Homo sapiens (assembly GCF_000001405.40). Classification (NCBI taxonomy): domain Eukaryota; kingdom Metazoa; phylum Chordata; class Mammalia; order Primates; family Hominidae; genus Homo; species Homo sapiens. The sequence goes on along the minus strand of NC_000007.14, from coordinate 85,092,919 downwards.
ATCTGCTAATCCTCATAAATAATTATTTTGCTTGTACAAGAGTTTATTTGCCTCTGCAAAAGTTTTCTCGATTCATGATTTAATATAAACTTCATGAAATCTGGTCTGCTGCAAATCTCTTTAATTATGTTGAAAACATATAAGTTTTCTCCCTTTAGTATTTTGACTGTTTTAGGGGTGTGACATTGATAAGAAAGAGTGTCTTATAACTTGGTTCAAAGACTTACATAATATGTTATTCTATAGTCATAGTATTTAGCATTATTCACTAAATAGTTAATGTACAGAAAACATATTTTTTAAAAAATCAAATAACTAAATATGACTTAAGCATCATTTAATATATATCTTAGTGTAATTATACATAAAATAATGCCACTTTTATTGGTTTGGTTTTGTCAGTCTCTGCAGCCGAAACAACTTATATGCATTATAGAAATAAAACTTGGGATACTTTATAAGTGACTACACTTTGAATATTTTTTTCTTTTGCCCTTCTACTTGAGCCAGCATTTCTTTTTCATTTAGTTCAACAAAAATCCATTGAGTATCTATTATTAGCACTAAGCATATTGTAATAGAATATAAAACTCAGATCTTGTCATTGCTCTAATCTTAGTTAGGGAGACAAGGCATAATACAGTTACAAGGAAAGTTAGAAAATTTTAAATGTCCAAAATAATGAGACAGATCACATATGGTAGAAATACAGAGAGAGGAAAACAACTACATGTTGTTCATGGTTTTGAACTAGTACAAGACGGATGAGTAAAATTTGGATTAATGTTAACTGGTTAATCTAAAATGTTTGCATTTAAATTTGGAACTTGGGGTTTGTTGTTTCCTTGTTGTTCAGTTCGAATGGGGAAAAATATGTTTGAGAAATGGAGCAGAAAAGAGTCTATTGTCTATTCTGTATGCAGATTTTTCACTTGATCTTAGCCAAAAGGCCAGAAGTGATTGTATGTAGATTTCTCATAGTTTAAATTAAGGGAGCTGCATTTTCCTGCCCCAGCCCTTAACATCCTACTCTATCTCCTGAGTCAGAGAAAGTATATAAAAGAAGAACTTTAATAGTCCTTCGGAAAGGTGGCCAACTGTGAATAGACATTTATATCTATTTATCATTCATTTACAAGTGATGCATTAGAAGCCTGTTCAGTGTAGACATTATAATAATGAATGTGTTTGACATTTGTACAATATGGTTTAAGGACCCACGGTTTCTAAACAAATTATTCGAAACGACATAGTAACTGTCAGTTTGACTACAAGTGAACATTCTCTACTTCAGCCAGCCTTAAGTAGTCCTAGTAATAATTCATATAAAATCCAGAGCCCTCTCTATGTAAACTTCAAGAATAATGTATACAAGCTGAAAGTCTTCCCCTCCCTCTTTCTCACTCTTTTTTTTTTAATGGAGTCATAGTTGATGGTAAAAAAAAATATGCAATACTCTCTGTTTGGTTATGTTACTTAGTTGGACTTTTGAGTTAATGAATTGTTGGGATCCTTCCATATGAAAATGTTACTTATTTTGGAAGCGGTTCAAACCTGCAGGGATGGAACAAGTCTCTAAACCAGGATGCAAGCAAAGGGTCACAAAGAGAATGACGTATGGCTTACCAAGCTGAGTACTGCTTTTGTGTCTATATTATTCAAGCATTTATTTGTTGGCTTTCTTTCTCTCTTTCTCCTTCCTTCCCTTCCTTCCCTCCCTCCCTCCTTCTCTTCCTTCCTTCCTTCTTTCCTTCCTTCCTTCCTTCCCTCCTTCCTTCCTTCCTTCCCTCCTTCCTTCCTTCTTTCCCTCCCTCCCTCTCTCCCTCTCTCTTTCTCTCTCTTTCTCTTTCTCTCCTTCCTTCCTTCCTTTCTCTCTCTCTTTCTTTCTTTCCTTTTCTCTTTTCGTTTCTTTCTTTCTCTTTCTTCTTTCTTTTTGCATGTAATTGTAAAGATTACTTGAAATCCATAATGCTACACCTTTATGTTTGAGCATTTATATTGTGAAAATAACTAACCTAAATGAATTTATAATTTTACATATAATAATTTCCAGTGGAATATTTAAACACCCTTCTTTGTCTAACATAAAAAGAGCTTTGTTATTTCCCTTTCTTTAAGGAAGTCTAGAACAAGAGTTTTGATACATGAGGACTCTACACTTGCTTGTTTGATATTAAGTATAAGCAAAAATACTATTATAAATCAGAATGATGTTCTGACTCCAGTTCTATTAACTTACTCTATGGCTGAGTAAGACATTTCTGTCTAATGCTTTAGCTTCTAAGAAGTCTATTACATAGTGGGAAAAGAAAAGAATAAATAACCTTCTCACTTAAAATCAAATTATTTGTAAAACAAAATCATCAGTCTTTTAATTCTTATTTAATACTTGAAATTAAGAAAATAGAAATACTTGGAAAGCATGTGGACATCCTAATAAATTAACTTTTGCTATAAGACACCCTGCTTAGTTTCATGTGATTAATCTGTTTCCATTGCCTGCCGAGCATATGCTGTCTAGTAATCACAGAGCTAAAACAATCGACTCGTTCATGGATGTGCTGGCTCCCTAGCCCGGGTGCTGATGTGCAGGTCCCATCTGGTTACTGTAATGGACTGTCAGGATGTTGTCAGACTGCTCAGACCTCGCCAGAACTCTCACAAGAACTCCTTCTCTGTGTCCAATTCTATGGGAAACTCTGCAGATTACTTTTCAAAGAATAATTATTGAGCGCTCACCATGCCAGATTCTGTGCCAGGTGCTAAAGGTGGTAGGAAGAAAAAGCAATGTTCCTTGACACCAGACATCAGTGCTTACTAAACTTCAGTAAGTCATGGATTAGAGGTGTTGAATAGTATTCACTACAAAAGTTTGAAGTCCATCCGCAAGAGTAATTGGACCACAGGTTCTAAATTACTGACCATTTGTGGACTTCTTAGATTTATATTAATTTGTATGGTATATTAGCATTTCTCTCTCTTTCATGCAATACATATTTGTAGGTGTTTTTTTGTTTGTTTGTTTTATGAGATAGGTTCGCACTCCTGTCACCCAGGCTGGACTGCAGTGATGTGATCTCGGCTTACTGCAGCCTTAACTTCTTGGGCTCAAACAATCCTCTCACCTCAGCCTCCTGAGTAGTTGGGACTACAGGTGCTTGTCACCATGCCCAGCTAACTTTATTATTATTATTTTTCATAGAGACAGAGTGTTGCCATGTTGCCCAGTCTGGTCTCAAACTTCTGGGTTCATGAAATCTGCCCACCTCACTTGTAATCCCAAAGTGCTAGGATTACAGGGCATGAGCCATGGCACCCGGCCTTGCAATACATATTTATTGAGGTTCTACTATATTCCTGATACTCTTCTAGATGCTGAGAATATAGTGAAAAATAAAACAGGTCAGACATTCATGCTCATAGTGTCTTCAATTTGGGAATAGAGAGTTAATGGAGAAAAGGAAACAAAATAGCACTTATTGCGAAGTATTATGTTAAAAAATGTGTGGTGTTCCTGGGAAACTACTTCAGATTGGTTATTAGAAAAGACCTTTCTGGGGAGATGATAATAAAATTGACAGGTATTTATAAGAAGGGATCATCTAGAAGAGGTCAGATGTATTTTAGGTAGAACAAGCTCTACCTAGAAGATAATAATGAAGTATTATTTTAAAGAGCAGCATTAGCTGGCATACACAAAAAAGCTCAAGAAATGTTTACTGCAAGTTTCTTTCAAATGAGTATTAACTTGGTGGAGATGATTTGTGTTTTAAGGCTGGGCTGCTGAGATTCACACCTACCTAAGGTCACAAACCAAGCGGCGATGCAGTAGGGACTCACATTCACGTGTTCTGATTGCACTGCATTTAATTGATCTTTACACCTGGAAAAAGGTCTCAAACTAAACTTACTTTTGAAAAAGAAAGTGCAAATGGATGTGATAAGCAAAAGTGTAGTAGAAGACAGAGATGATTCGTGGAAGAAAGCTAAAATGCAAGCGAGGCTTCTGAGCTGAGTCGGGAAAAGGGAAAGGGAAAGACAATTGTCACCCAAGGCTTCATGCAGAAAAATCATGGAAAAGACCACTTTAGACTTTGCCTGGAACTCCATCTTCTGTATTGAAGCACATTTTCTTGGAAAATTTGTAGGCCTGCCCTTATATAAAAATCTAAAACAAAACAAAACAAAACAAAAATGGAGAATTAAACTTCCCTTCTGTAACAATTTCTATCTAGGCCAGGCCAATACCCACTGCGCAAGCTTTACCTTTGGCGCTGTTGCTCTTGTTTTGCAACAGGAAAACACCTCCCTGTCCTGGGAACCCAGAGTAACCATTGCTCTTTTAGTTGTTCAAATCCTTGTATCATATAGCATTCAGAGTGACATTTTTTTCTTTAAAGCCATTTAAAAACTTGTATCCTGTTTTTTGAAAGAGATGGCCACTATCTCAAGGGTTCTGAATTTTTGTCTTTAATTAGGTTTTTATGAATAAGTTTCAACTTCCTTTTGTGTGTCTCATTCAGTTGTTTTGACATCTCTGAATTAGGCTGAGGGGCATTTGACTGACCTTGCACTTGCTAACTTGAGTCAATTAAATTGCTTCTCCAAAGATGAAACAAAGAGCAGATATAATTAGAATTTCCTTTGGATGTTGTTATAAAGTCTTATCATTATTTGAATGTTTCTGTAACTTGCCTAACACTGAATAATTAAAAATTAATTGTCTGACATTTTCACCTTACTAAAAGATAAGTGAAACAACAATTGTTAGGGATACTGCAATATTTTATGAGTCCCTTCTAAGTATTTTTTCAAAATGAAGTAAAAATAATATTAAAAGGACAAAAAGTTGTTTTGGATTTTGGACAGAGAAAAGTAAATAAAATCAATATAAATTCAGACAGTTTACACTATATTTACATAAAAAAGTATTATTAAATCTTTTTAAGAATATGTTTAAACTATAACTTTATGCACAAAGCCTATTTAAGGAGGCACTGAAGACAATTTTTATTTCAATAATATGGTCTCTTTTCATACTAGTAAGCTATACAACTCTAAAAGAAAATATACAGATATATGTTTAGATAATAATATTTGAGCCTTCCAAGGTTAGCATGAAAAAATTAATCCTTTGGAAATAATCAATTGTGAAATACTATAAAGGCAACATAAATATACTAATATGGGTCAGTAAATTATAGAATATGAGGACTGGCTTATGAGACATACTTGTTTAACAGTGTTGACCCATAAACTCTTATTTCCAAGTGAAGACATTTTATAAATTTATTTACTTCTGTTTGCCAGTTTTCTGTTATCAACTAGATCTGTAAGAATTAGCACTCAAATTAAAACCAATTTGCAAGTATTGTTTAATAATTGTTCAATTACTAGCTATACCCTGAATAAGTAAGTTGAGAGGAATTCTTAGGTTCTTCTGGATCCACAGAAAAGATCTCCGTTTGATTTCTGATGTCTCCTGCACGTGGGTAGACAGCAACAGTAAGCTCTCTGCATATTTGCAGTCCTTGATATCAAGGCTCTAAGGTCCCAAAGACCACAACCCACCAAAATTATATCCTTAAAATCTGTATCTGGTGCATCAGCACAAGGTTAGTTAAGAATTAGTGTTTTGTGGGAATATTTCAGAGCAATTAAAATCTGGCCATTAGGCAATGGCATCTCTGTTTCTGGTATGACTCTCTTTGATAAGTGAAGGAAAAATATCTGTGGATGACTTTCTAAAGGACAAATACGGTTGCATCAGCTTTTAGAAACAGGGCCATGTGCTTTGTTGTGTGCTGTTTCATGCAACTTTTAATATGTCAGGATACTGTGTGCAAGACACACTACAGTGTAAGAAGATTTATGTGGCATTTTATTGCTGATAAATTCAAAAGGCAGTAAGAATATTAATAATCACTGTCTCAAAATTGTTCATATTAACTATTGATCCTGAGGGCTGACTTTTAATAGATAATGTGGACATTATATTTTTAACTATATGGTGTGACTTTTGTCTAATAGTGACGCAATCTCAAAGTGTACTGACTAGGCCACTAAAATAATCCAAGGAACACAGGTACCTCTTGGGCTCTTGTACAACAATGCTGGAACTTCAGCCTGTATGTGAAACATATCTTATTCTATACCCAATGACCCTATAGTTGACATCTCTATTTTTCCCTTTATATAACTGCGTGTGTCTCTGTCTTTCTCTCTCTTACTATTTTCCCCCTCCACATGCATCTATACACACACACACACACACACACACACACACACGGAGAGAGAGAGAGAGAAAGAGACTAGAAAAATATGAAAATAGTGGAATGCTGTTATATATGTGCGTATATTGTACATTATATATCGCATTATATAAAGATTATATATAATGTGATATATATATACATATAACACTTCAAAAGATTATTGAAAATTTTGCCAATTCTATGTAAGAATAAGAGCGGATCTTTAAAAATGATTTTGTCTTGTTTTTCGTGTTTTTAGATTGAATTAAGGGAAATTCTGTCTCTTTAAATTCTTTATCAATTAGGAATAAAAATGAATATTTAAAAAAAATCTCTTTAATGACTAGGTAGTATGTAAGAAAAAAAATCCACCACAAATCATAATTAAACTGACATCTTTTCAATATTGACACAGCTATAATGACTATTTTTCCCTTCTAAGTAAATGTTTAGAGTCTAAAAGACAATCAGATATATCATAGGTTGTTTTTGCTTAAGGTAATTCTGTTAGTGATGACTAAACCTTGGCAGCATTGTGTCAAAATAAGCCAATGTATAATTTCAATAAATCCTTATTTTTGAAGGTTTTAATTTTACTTTAAGAAGTAAAATTTTCTTTGTGATCCTAGCTCATAATCCCTGTGCTTGTATATAACATTTACTTGCTAATCAAAAAGTCAGTTCTCTGAAGCTTGTAATTAGTTGTATGGCTTCATCAACTAGGATGGTGCAACTCAAATTACAATTATGTGACTTATAAGCAATAACTGAAAATGTACAACAAAAACATTAAAGCATCTTTTACAGATTTGTATTCCTTTACAAAGAGAATATATGTGCAATTGCTATTTTAGTGTCAAGTCCCTGAGACAAAATTAGAGTTGAAACCATCTAGCTAAACCAAACTATTATATTAGAGTTGAAACTATTAAGAGCAAGTACTTTAAAACAGAGGATCAAAAGTAGAGACTGCCAGTAAGCGCTCCACAGTGCTCCCTGGGCACGGTGATTTCATCCCGTGTACTCTCTTGTCACTCTGTATCTCCCATCCTAACTCAGACCCAAGCACCTCAATTTGATGCCTTGGCTGACATACAGAAGGCCTTTCATAATTATATGTCTAATGAACAAATAGTTAATGAAGAGTAACTACTTGGTGCTAACTTTGAAACTTTTATTTAGGTTTCAAAAACGATATAAAGAGTGCTTCCACATTTTGTCATTCTTTAAATAAGCCCCTCCTCTTAGAAGCACTAGTGAATATATTCACATTTAATTTTGGAGGCATCATTTATCTCATAATTTAATTTAACTCAATCACCCAATACTATGATTTGAAGTAAAAAATAAAACCCTGTGATGGCCTTTATCCTTTTTAAGACTCATTTACTTAATATGAAAGAGTTATATATTTTTTTGTTTCCTACATTATTATTTGTATGATATGTAATTTTGAAAAAATCTATAGATATTTGCCCTACATGTATTCCTTAAATGTGATTAAACCTGATTATCATCTAAAACAAACAAAAAAAGAACAGGATCTTACATGCTGAAATGATTCAAAGAAATATTAATCTGGCAACATAGCAAAGACATGGAATCAACCTAAACGCCCATCAGTGGTAGACTGGATAAAGAAAATGTGGTACATGTACACTATGGAATACTACCCAGCCATAAAAAAAAGAAACAGACCATGTCCTTTGCAGAAACATGAATGGAGTTGGAGGCCATTACCCTTAGCAAACTAACACAGGAACAGAAAGCCAAATACTTACAAAATGGACTTCTATGTGTCCATGTGTTCTCATCACTTATAAGTAGGAGCTAACTGATGAGAATACATGGATATATAGAGAGGGGAACAACACACGGTGGGACATTTTGGAGTGTGGAGGGTGGAAGGTGGGAGAGAATCAGAAAAAATAACTAACGTGTACTAGGCTTAATACCTGGGTGAAGAAACAATCTTTACAAGAAAGCCTCATGACACAAGTTTACCTGTGTAACAAACCTGCACTTGTACCTCTGAACTTAAAAGTAAAAGTTAAAAAGAAAGGAAAAAAAAAGAAAATATTATTGAAAAAAAAAACCTTTCCTAGGCACAAGGTCTGCATCAATAAATATATTTTGAGTGCATTAAAAATATTAAATCAATTGACAGGTTATGGAAAAGTATTCTGTGTACTATTTTCAGTCCAATGATATAAAGTTGTCCTTTGTAAAATCACTGTATTATTGAAGAACCAGCAAGTACAGCATTTCACTTTTGCAAGATGAAAAAGTTCTAGAGATTGGCTGCACAACAATGTAAATATACTTAACATTACTGAATTCTACACTGAAAATTGTTAAAATGGTAAATTTTATGTTATGCGTTTTTAACCAAAATTAAAAATAATAATAAAATTGGACCAGTGGAGGGGGGAAAAAGTGAGAGGATACCTTGAGAGTTCATAAGCTCATATCTAAAGCAAAGACTCTGAATTCAAGATGCAATTTTTTTTTTTTCTTTTGAGATGGAGTCTCGCTCTGTCGCCCAGGCTGGGGTGCAGTGGCGCGATCTCCTCTCACTGCAAGCTCCACCTCCCGGGTTCACGCCATTCTCCTGCCTCAGCCTCCCAAGTAGCTGGGACCACAGGCACCTGCCACCACGCCAGGCTAATTTTTTGTATTTTTAATAGAGACAGAGTTTCACTGTGTTGGCCAGGATCGTCTCGATCTCCTGACCTCGTGATCTGCCTGCCTCAGCCTCCCAAAGTGCTGGGATTAGAGGCGTGAGCCACCACCCCCGGCCGATGCAATTTTTTTTTTTTGAGACGGAGTCTCGCTCTGTCGCCCAGGCTGGAGTGCAGTGGCGCGATCTCGGCTCACTGCAAGCTCCGCCTCCCGGGTTCACGCCATTCTCCTGCCTCAGCCTCCCGAGTAGCTGGGACTACAGGCGCCCGCCACCACGCCCGGCTAATTTTTTTTTGTATTTTTAGTAGAGACGGGGTTTCACCGTGTTAGCCAGGATGGTCTCGATCTCCTGACCTCGTGATCCGCCCGCCTCGGCCTCCCAAAATGCTGGGATTACAGGCGTGAGCCACCGCGCCCGGCCGATGCAATTTTTAAGAAGCACTCAGTCCAGTATTTTTGCCAGCAATGATGAATAACAAAGGAACAACCAGAACAAAAATAACAAACAAACAACATTTGAAGAAACGTTCCAATTTTGGGCCAGCTGCAGTGTTCCATCTGGATTATTGAGTTATGGCTTCACGATTCTGGGTTTATGACTAACCATTGTCCATTGGTCCATGCATTGCCCACTTTAGTTAATCTATTTACTAACTTACATTATTCTCTTTTTCTTAATTATGTTGTTAAACACGTGAAAAATGCACCCTCAAGCACAAATGCTAGAATCTGGTAAATAACCTGTTTCTTACCTCCAAGTCATCCTTCCCCTCGTTTCCCATTTTGGCTGGCCATTTTTCTAAATCCACCCACCTATACACCTGAAATGTAACCATTTTATTTTAGTTGCTTTTAACTTTATTCTAAAGCAAGATGTGCGGTTTGCAATTTGAGGAGATATTCTTTTTAGACCTAATAATGAGTTGCTAATTTCCATTCATATTGCTTTTCATTGCTGCAGCTCACTGATATTTGACTGCTGGCTACTATTTAAAGTTGTGTGATAGTAGAACTACAGTGATTCAAACCATTTCTGAATAAATAGCATTTTCTAGTCGGCATTGTGTACCTTATCAAGGTTAGCTGATCACTTGAGCCTCTGCTGCCTCCACCACCTGCCTATATACATATCTGGATTGTAATTTGTGAATGTTAAGATCTTCTCTAAGTAAACAATCTTGCTCCGGTTTAAAATCTCAATAATTTCATTGTATTTGTCTATTTTGAATGCTATACTGTGTTCTTTATTTAGAGACATAAAACCCTAAAATTTCACCACAAAGATAATATCATATAAACATTGATGACTTCTAAATCCTTTGTTAATTCCAGGTTTAACAAGTCTCTTTCAGTGTATTCCCTCAGGATATTTTCTTTTTTTGTCACCTATTAAAATATTTTCTGCTACCATTGGTGAGAAACATAATAAAAGTCTATCGGGAACTCCTGGAGCATATATTATAAGTATTTTAGAGCTTGCTTTTCTTGTTCCTTCTTGCTTATAGCTTAACAGAGAGCATTTCTTTCTGTAAGCTAATGGAGTTACATAACTGCTTAAAATTTATTTTGCAAAAACTTTCTTACAGAATTCCTACAAAAACTTCCTGACAGAATTTAAAAGAAAGAAAAAAGCCTTGAACTCAAGATCGTGAAGCATAATTGAAAGCTATCAACCAATGAGTTTGGAGCCCTTGACTTATGTAATGGTTGAGACCCCCCCAGTTCAAGAGTCAGATGGACTTTGAGTCAGACTGTGGCTCTGCCATAAGTTTTGTGGTCCTCAACACGTTATTTAAAGGCTATGTGACTAAGTTTTCTGATCTCAAAATGGGAAGAATAAGTACAGCCATCTCAGAGGGTCATTGTGAAATTTAAGTAAGAGAATGCTTATAAAACATTTAGCTAAGTGGCAGATGCATCTGAGCTCCAAGCATGTTAAATATTGTCAACAAATTCACACTGGTCCTTGGCTTGGAGAAAGAAGTTATGCTCTGACAGAGAGTTGTTTCTAACACTTCATGGCACATGTTTATAATGTACTACTACTCTGAGTAAACACAGAAAAACATGGTACATACAGCCTCTTATTTAGGCAAATGCTCATGTGAAATTCTGTTGACATCATGATAAAGCTTATGGACCTCTGAACATAATGTATCTACTGTTACAGACATTAAAATAGAGACCAGAAGATTCACAAAAATGGATAGTACTAGACACTTTTCTTTTAGAAACTTTCAGGGTGGCTTTGGGAAATATTTAAATCTCAAATTTCCCACATTGACTCTAACAACATGCTTAATACTCATTCTTCAATTTCACACATTCACTCTCTGAGCAGAATTGCAGAGTGTTAGGGTGTTTCAGATATTCAGGTTGTAACATACTTTGAAATGTTTTGCAGATTTATTGGCCTGCTGCAAAGGAACGGGTGGAATTATGTAAATTAGCTGGGAAAGATGCCAATGTAAGTATGAAACTGTAACAATTATCTTTGTAAAACTTCTACTGATATGATAGCAAATATTTATATTGGGCTTTACTGAATTAATGGTATTAGTGTATTATTTTTCAGACTAAACTAACATATTCTATGTGAATATTAATGTGGAATAAAATATCTCTATCTTACCAAAAGCCATGATATTATTTATAAAATTTAAGAAATGTAGAAACACTCTACTTTCTAATGTATTAATTCTGAATATTATTTTTGTCACAAAAAAGATTAGAAACACATTAAAGTATTCAAAAATAAACCATCCAAAAGATTGTAGTTCTAGGAACATGTATTTTTCATTTATGCATACATGTTTTTGTAAGTGTACACAAAACCTTCAGTTATTTTAGCATCACAAACAGAATTGATACATAATTTCAACTGAGTTCAAATTAAACTTAAAATATCTATAAGAATTCCTTTATGTGGTGACATAATGGAAAGAACAATAAGAATTAGTTAATAATGAATGACAGCATTCTGGCGTAAGAACTAGTAACTACTTCCTCTGAAATTTATGTATTAGTAATAATGATTATATAAAATAACTCATAAAAGACAAATAGAGGGTACTAATGAAACTTTTAGTTTAAGCTGCCTTGAAGAGCAGAGAAAACACTTAGGTATGACTTTTTGTCTCTGGTATGGTCCTATCTGTCTTGATTTCTGCACTGTCCAAGTTGTCCTGCATGCTCCCTCTAATCATGTAACCTGATTTATCTCCAGCAATGAGGGCTATGGCTCTGACTGGCTCCTCTCCTCATCCGAGTGCTCTGATTCAGGACAGATATTCTGTCTTCTGTCCTGACTTCTTGCATTATGGTAATGGGGAGAATTGCTCCTTTTTTTGGCAAAATAAATCACATTCAAATTGTAACCCAAGATGAAAACAGGTTGTAACCTGGGGCAGAAACATAGACATCTTGAGGCTTCTTTTGCACCATCCTTTAATCGTACCTCTAACCACAATAATGCGGGGGTATTAAGCTCAGTTATGCCATCATATTTAATAATAACAAATAGTCTTTGTTATATGAAAGGATGAATAGATTAAAGAATCCTCTATCAATGTGATAGAAATAAAATATGACATATAATGCCTAAGGTTGTGAGGGGACGCTCAGAAGGCTAATAATCTCAGACAACAGGTTAGTTCACTCATTTGTTATTCATTTATTCAAAAAATATTTTTAGAGATCCTAAATATGTATATGAAACTCATCATATCTGTCCTTATGGAGCTTTCAATCTAATGGGGGATACAGATACTGCTCAAATGATGACTTCTACATAGTAAATACAAAGCAAAATAGTTGAAATGAAACAAAACAAACTTGTAGTGACCCCTGATTTTATATTCAGTTATTAACATAATTAAATGTCATCCTTTCAGGCATATTTATATTAGCGGAAATATATCAGGGAGTGTTAACATAAAATGCAGTGGGAAACAGTTTTTACATTTCGGTCACTAGAAATGAAAGGAATTAAACTATTCTGTAATGTATTCTTCTCCTCCCACGGCTTTGGTATCTTCATCCAGTTCAATAGTCCAACACCAAACAGGTACCAAGGTCTGCAAAAGCACCGATACTTTACTGAACACTCACAGAGAATGAAATGCTTTGGTTATGAGAGTTTTTCAAATTATGTCATTTAATGGACAGTATAAGCATGGCATAACCAGCATGAACATTTTTGTATTTGTGTTTCACCAGTATTGAGTATACGATAAGGAGGCAAGAAGGAAAAGGATGTTTTCAATTTACTCCAGTAAAATGGTTTTCCCATGGAGCAGATCAGGGATAAACAGTCAAGGTCAAACAATCAGTGAAGGTTTAAATTCTGACAGTGCTCTCACTTGGGTATGTTCACTAATTCCAGTTACATAGTAACTTAATTGCCCCTCTTATTAAGTTAAAGCAAATGGTGATAAACTTTTCTGGAGGTGATATCCTTGACCATGTAGGATTCTGTATATAGAACATATTATTCCAATTCAGTCATAATTGTGAGCTAGTAACCACCTCTAACCTTTAAACACATTTGCTGCTAACCCAGGATTAAATATATGAGGAGCTTTTTGCTTTTTGCTGAAGTCTGTAGTTTGATGTTGAATCATGTAGTGATAATTTTTAATTTTTGCCTCATTTTAACTTGTTCGTTTAAAATAATGTTTCATTTTAGAGCTTCTAATAATAGCTAACATTTTTGTAGCAGTTACCATGTTCAAGGAACTGTTTTCAATGATTTACATGTATAACCTCATTTAATCCTTATGACAACACTATATGCTAGATTTTATTATTATTTTCTATTTTCTGGATGAGAAAACTAAAGCAAAAAATCTTAAATGGCTTGCCCAATATCATGCATCTGGTAAATAGTAAAGCCGGGGATTGAATCCAAAAAGCTTGCTCCAAGGTCTGTGCTCTTACATAACATTATAAAATATCCATATAAGATCCAAAAACTATATCCTTCAAGTTATTTCTTTCTATAATATCACCAGAACATAGATCCTCATTTTTAACAGCATTACATAGATTTTGGCGGACAGAAAACTGAGACAGCTCTGTGGTTTTATTGACATCTTTTATTACGTTTGGCATTACCCTTTCTCCTTCTTCCTCTCTAGTAATTTTTACCTACTTCCCAAGAGTGTGTTTAGGATTAACAACTGTTTGGAAAGACTGTCCCTTTACACAAAGGTACTATGTAACTGCAAAACAGTGAATTATTTACCCTAATGAAAGTTAGCTAATTGGGGTGGGGATAGTAGAAGATGAGGAAACAAAAGGGAACTATTCCACTTTGTTGAACATAGTCCCCAGTTTAATCCAAAGAAGGGTAGAGATGACAGAAAGATATTTGGTAGTATTTTGCTTCTATTTAGAGGAAAGTTATTCAAAAGAAAGTAACTAAAGAAATGTCTTTAGTTCTGACTATATAATTGTGGGTTAAACAGCTTACTCCAAGCAAAAGAAACCACAGGGTGAGGGTAGCCTGGGCTCTGTTTGTCAGCTCAACCACAGAGGGGCACAGCCTGTCCACACAGACATTACACAAAGTTAAAGCGTCCTCCGGAACTTCAGTTTTTTTATTATATCCTTCCTTCCTTCCTTCCGTTCCCTTCCTTCTTTCCTTCCTTCCCTCCTTCCTTCTTTCCTTCCTTCCTCTCACTTTCTTTTTTTCTTCCTTTTTTTCTCTCAAGAAAGTCTAAAACTAAAATAGAATGTTCATTGTAGAAAGTTTGCAAATTATATACAAGCAAAAAAAGAAAAACAAGTCATTTATAAATACCTCTCCCCCATGAACACTAACCAGAGATAACTGGTGACATTTTGATGTTTATTTTTCTATCTTATCTATTTACTAATTTTCAGTATGAAATCATTGTATACATAGTCACTTAAAACACTTATTTTTTTTTACTTCACAGACTGCCATGAGCATTTTCCCATGTCATTAAATTCTTTAACACTACTTTTAATAGTTACACTGCATTTCTTTATGTATTATTTAATCAATCCCCTATTGTTAGAAGTTTGGTACATATCCAGTTTTACTATTGAAAATGACACTGTACATGAAAAAATTTTATGTAAATATTGTGAATATCTTTGATTATTGAGTAGACTTTTACTAGTTAAGGACATAAAAATTTTTATAAACATATTGCCAAATTGCCCTCCAGAAAGTTTATGCCTCATATGCTCTTACCAGCAGTATGTGATCAAGGGAGGGTGTATTTACCTATTATACCATTGTTAATATTGAATACAACATACATTTAATGCTTAATACAAATGCATATGAATGAATAAAATATGTATATTTATTCTTTGCCAATAAAAAGAAAATTATTTTTGCTGTTTTAGCTTGAAATTTTTTCATTACTCTCAACACTAAACATCTTATATGATTGCAAAATATAATTTTTAAATAGCATATCCCTGCGGCCCATATTTTTTTAATTTTCCTGTTTGCCTTTTTCGTGCTGATTATTTACAGACTTATAAAACATATATAATATATATACACACACACGTATAGGTAGACATATTTGTATAACATAAATATGTATAGAGTATACATACAGTATAATACCTTGTGTTCCACTCGTGAAAAACATATTCTTTATCACTTTATCAGTTACCTTATTTGATGTATACACTTTATTTAAATAGTCATTTCTATCTTTTTCTTTAAAATGTTTTCTTTTGCACTTTTACCGTAACTGATTATTGCTCTGTAGAAATCTTCACTGTTAGATCTCTCATTTTTAAGATATAAATGTGATATATGAGTTTTTCTATTTTTATTTTGAAGTATTAACAATCTATTAAAATATTTTAAAGTTTTTTTTTTTTTTTTTTAGACGGAGTCTCACTCTGTTGCCCAGGCTGGAGTGCAGTGGCGCAATCTCGGCTCACTGCAACCTCTGCTGCCCGGGTTCAAGCGATTCTCCTGCCTCAGCCTCCTGAGTAGCTGGGATTACAGGCAACTGCCACAGCGCCAGGCTATTTCTTTTTCTTTGTATTTTTGTATTTTTAGTAGAGAAA
The DNA here is from genome assembly GCF_000001405.40 of Homo sapiens. Lineage (NCBI taxonomy): Eukaryota > Metazoa > Chordata > Mammalia > Primates > Hominidae > Homo > Homo sapiens. The sequence continues at coordinate 85,076,918 of NC_000007.14, read as the reverse complement.
ATTCACTATCTTGGCCAGGTTGGTCTTGAAATCCTGACCTCATGATCCACCCACCTCGGCCTCCCAAAGTGTTGGGATTACAGGCGTGAGCCACCGCGCACAGCCCTATTTTAAAGATTTTAAGACCTAAACTGATCTCTGCATCCTGGATCCTGTCCGAGAACTTCTAGACAAGCCTAACATGTAGCTCAGAGACAGAGATAGGTGAAAAGTCAAAAAATGTTTGATGATCACAATATTCTGCAACACACATTAAAAATAAAACCAGTTAAGATTCCAAAATCATTAGTATCTTCTAATATTTAACATAAATAAATTAAAATTAGCTACTGTAAGTCAGTTATCAGAATAGATATAAAGCTGTTTTGGATTTTATTGGACCCTACATATGTCTTGAGAATTACAAGTACTTCTATTTTGCTATTATCTTTCCAGGTATCTGGGGAGAAACTAAAATTCTAAGTGTTAATGCATAGACTAATATATTTTTGCTTTTTTTCTCTGCAAGTATGAATTCAGTTTTATACTTGTCTATTTAGTTATTTATATATGTATGAATATATATGAGAGATGAAATATTGAAACATCTAATATTACTTAAGATAATTAAAAAGTTGATATTTGCTTTGGTTCTTTCTCTCTTCTTCTCCCCCTCTTCCCTTTTTCTTTCTCTTCCAGTGGGGGTAGGGTAGGGCCTACGGAAAGCCATGTAGGTAGGAGGAATAAAGGAAGGAAGGAGAAATTCAATACTTGTCCTAAGTTGAATACATTACTCCCTGGATTGTTTGGTCACATGCAATGATCAACATTGTGGGCAATAGCTGACAAATTAGCTTTCAGGGAAAGTTACAAAGGCTGCTTCTCAAAGTTATCTTTCTTCGTGCCTCACAGAATTACACTACCACTGATAGCCTTGCAGGTCACTAAGTGAATTAAATCAAGTTAATTATTGATCATGCTATTTAAACAAATCTTTGAAACTTTGTGTGTAAGAATAAAACAACATAGGATTTCTGAGACTTAAAAAATGAAGTTATGAGTTGAAAGGGAAGTCATTGTAAAGTTTTTTTGCAACAAGTATTGTTTGGCTTAAATGTCAACCTCAGGTAAAATTTAAAGTGGGAGACCTTATCTTTTACGATCTCTGTTCACAGATTTCTTTTGCCCAGGCAGCCAAGGCCTTTCTATTGCCTCTAGGCTGCTTAGAGAACTATCCTCTCTCAAATTCCCTACAGAAAAATTTGACTGAGCACAACTGACATTTTTGTAAACTGTGTCAGATAATTCAAGATTCACACATACTTTTTTTTTATTCCATGTCAGCCCAATCAGACAGAAGGGAGGAATTTCATAAATTAATCTGAGGTATGCCTTGTCAAGTCAGGAAATTGGCATATTAGGCTACTTTCTAGGACTAGCACCATTTTAATAAAATACTCCTAGAAAAGTGAAAGGAAATAAAATAGGTGTGATTCAGAGGTTTTTTTTTTTTTTAATAATCACCAAAATTATATCCCCATTGTGTATAAAATGTTGCCCTGGACCATATTTGTCTTTATAAACAGTGCTGCATCACTGGTAGCTTCTAATCTGTTTGACTCCATAATTTAAAATCTGGAAAGGGAGTTATATTTCTTTATCCAAATATTTATTTCAGAATCTTGCAAAATTACTTTCTAAATTCTAACTGAGCTTTTGAAAAAATGGTGAACTAATTGGTGGTGAGTCAGTCCTCCCTCACTCCAGCCATATGATTTTACTCTTCCCTGCCCTGCATACTCTCCCCTATGTACGAATGTCTTTGTGCAGGAAAAACCAAGGAATAAAAATCTTTTCAAAAAGTGAGCATGAGTGCGCAAAGGCTGGATTATAAAACCTCCTACTCTAGCCATGAGGTCATCAATAAAATTTACCTGGTGATCATGTACATTTTCATACTTTTATCTTATCTTTTCTCATATTACTTTGTCTTAATTGTTTGTTCGAAACTATTAGTATCGGCCTGCCATGGTGGCTCATGCCTGTAATCCTAGCACTTTGGAAGGCCACGGAGAGAGGATTGCTTGAGGCCAGGAGTTCAAGACCAGACTAGGTAACAAAGCGAGACCCTGTCTCTACAAAAAAAACACGAAAATTACCCGGGAGTTGATGACTTGCACCTGTAGTTCCAGCTACTCAAGAGGCTGAGGCTAAAGAATTGCTTGGGCCTGGGAAGCGGAGGCTGCAGTGAGCCAAGATCGCACCACTACTCCAGCAGCCTGTCTCAAAGAAAAAAAAAAAATATATATATATATATGCCAGTTGAAACATTGTACCTCAGATCTTCAGATCTGTAGACATAGCTATTCACTTTAAAATCAAAGCAACCACTAGGATATTAGTATTTTGTATAGCTCAAAATCAGGGTAAGGAATAAACAAATATTAAATTTATATTATTTCACTTAATCTACATAACAGCCATAACAATCCTATCATTAAGTCATTGTCTGCCTTTTTAAAAAATTTTATTTCATTCTAAGAACCACCCTACCAGTTAGGTTATTGTCTATTGTTGGGTTTTTTATTTATTTGTTTGTTTTTTAATATATTCCTCCTAGGAACCCCAACAGCAACAGTGGACCATTAGGTCCATGCCTGACTGGTGAGTAACCTATGGCCACTTGGGCAGAAAGAAACTGGACTTTTTCTATGCAATCCAGTGGTTTCTCAGGTTACCAACTTCCTTAATAACCCAACACTTGCCTGTCTCCTGGGTAAAGCCAACCTAGAATAAAAGTCTGCTCCAGCCCAGTGTTTACTTAGGTGTCATTGGATCCAAGAATCATGAAGCCACGGTTAAGAAATTGCATGTAACATTTATGTAAAGATAGAGTATCACTTGCAGGAGATAGGTTGAAAATAATATACAATAACAAGAATAAATACTCTAAAAAGAGAGAGAGCCACTATTTACTGCTATCTGAAGCATATGAAATAATTAAGTTCTAAAGATAATGATGACATAAAGAAATATTTTTAGGCATAAGCATATGCAGAACAGAAAGAAACAAAAATTTCTTCAAAAATTTGACTTGGTGTAAAAAAAGTCCATGAGAAAAAACAGAGATTATGGAAATTATCAAGAAATAATCTGATTCTTAGAGGCTCTGTAACACTGGAAAATAAATGGCAATAAGTGGTAGGGCATCTGGTCAATAAGAATTGAATACATAGGTAGAGATGCACGTTTGTGTTCAGTGTTTTGTTCAGTGTAGCTGAGACAGATGACATTGCAAACAGTAGTAACTATATGGTATAAATTATGTGGTAACAACAGATCATGATAAATTCTGTGTTCTATGTATTTCTTGTAGAAAGTAAGGATACCAGGTGTGTGTGGTGGTGGGTGCTTGTAGTCCTAGCTACTCAGGAGGCTGAGTAAGGAGGATCTCTTGAGTCCAGGAGTTTGAGGCCAGTCTGGACAACATAGAGAGGTGTCATCTCTAAAAAAAAAAAGAGAAAATTTTAAATATGGACGTCTAATTCATATTCTGTTTATATCCGTTCTCTAGGGCTCACTGAGTACCACTATAGACTTGCATTCTAATTAACCTAATTCTGATTAGTTCAATGGTTTTATAACTTCAAAAATCTAAAAAGCTACTCCTTTATACCATGGTTTCTATATTTGTCTTGCCTCGTTTGCTACAACAGATGTCTAGAATTTCTCATAAATCTTTTTTCATTTGTGCTCTTATTTTTGAAGATTGATCTACTTGGAAAACAGGTGGCATAAATGATAATATTTCAAAAACCTGAATTGTGTGTTAATGCTTTTAATTTTTGTGCCCAACAGACAGAATGTGCAAATTTCATCAGAGTACTTCAGCCCTATAACAAAACTCACATATATGTGTGTGGAACTGGAGCATTTCATCCAATATGTGGGTATATTGATCTTGGAGTCTACAAGGAGGTAATATAATGAAAAAGCATGAAAAGCATAATTTATTGTAATACATTACTACTTAATTCCTATGACATAAAACAGGCAGATTTGAATATAAGGACTGAAACATATATGGCCAGGCATGGAGGTGCCTGCCTGTAATGCCAATACTCAGGAGGATGAAGTCAGAGGGTCCCTTGAGCCAAGGAATTCAAATCTATCCTAAGCAGCATAGTAAGATCCTGTTTTAAAACAAAACAAAACAAAAAATGAATAGTTTATGAACGATATAGTAACTCATGTTCCTAGCCATTCTATGGACTATCATTTTCACCATATACTTGATCTACCAAATAAAAATGTTTAAAAATGTTTTTTCTATTAAAAGTTGTTTTTAGCAGGATGATCAAAATTAATAGTGTAAAATGTTAAAAGTGTTTGTTTTCTATGGGCTCCATGTATGTCTTTATATTCTCTTGACTTTCCTTTTTAACTAGATATACATAGTATGTTGCTATTGGTAAAAATTCATTTTCCATAAGATCTTGCAGTGGAATTGCATTATATAAATAATTTCATTTTCCTATCTAATAAAGTTGACCTGTTATGTATAATAGTGGACACTAAGTAAAGAATATTTTAATAATTTTCTTAAAAGTGTATAGTCATTGGCACAATGACTTTATTGTTTCAGCTGGACCAAATTGGCATAATGGAAATAAAGGATGTATTAATTAGGAGTCATGTATTCCAGATCTCAATGAGTGCTTTAATAAGTGAAAAACATGCATATTTTTGCAATTAAATTATTTACCAGTACTTTAGTTTACTGTCCTTGTGTTATGGACTTCATGCCATCCACTTCACATGGATTATTGCTTTGGAATTTCACAACACTCTTAATAAAGCCAGTGTCATTATAATTACCAATTTACAGGTTAGTAAAAATTAAGTCTCAATGGAATAAATTACATGCTACATCACCCAACTAATAAATGGTCTTGCAACAAATTGAATCAAGGCAGTCTATCTCTAGAGCAAGCATGAGCAACTGAGCTTTAGGACAAGTGCCCCCAGTTGTTTCTTGGTGATGTGCAATGTCATCCTCATGTTTATGTAAGTACAGTCATGTGCATCATAACAAGGTTTCCATCAACAATAGGCTGCATACAATATGGTAGCTCCATGAGATTACATTACCCTATTTCTACTGTATCTTTTCTATGTTTGCATATATTTAGATACACAAATGCTTACCATTGTCTTATAGTTGCCTGTAGTATTCAACGGTAACAAGCTGTACATGTTTGTAATCTAGGAGCAATAGGCTATGCCATATACCCTAGGTGTGCAGTAGGTTATACCATCTAGGTTTGTGTAAGTGCACTCTGTGATGTTCACACAATGATGACATTGCATAATGATGTACTTCTCAGAACATACCCTGTCTTTAAGTGATGCATGACTGTACTTTTTGTGAGTAACCACACATATTTGCAGGATAATTCGCTGTGTTTTTGAAAGTAAAGTCTGGGCTTATGGAAAAGGTTTCTTTACATTGACTTAGCTGATTCACACAGAGATCAAACCCACAACTATGGATGGATGGATTTTCCTTTCTAACCAACTTGTCTAACCAGCCCAGACTCAACTGTTTCAAAATAAAGCAACCCTGACAGTTAAATTTCTGAGCCACTAGGAGACTTGGTAACTTGAATCCATCATTCTTTGTTGGTGGTGTAATGTTCTCTTGTCTAACTCTGATGAAGGGTAATATATAACATTAGCTCATAGCATAGGGTGTAATTATCTGATATAGCCCCACAGTTTGAGTGTGTTTTGAGGCCTAAGGATAAAGGCCAAACTCGCAACCTGCTGAGGGGGGCAAATAGTGTTTTATAGCTCCTTAAAAGTCACAAGTGCTGGCCGGACGCAGTGGCTCACACTTTGGGAGGCTGAGGTGGGCAGATCACCAGAGCTCAGCAGTTCCAAACCAGCCTTGCCAACATGGTGAAACCCCGTCTTTTCTAATAATACAAATGTAGCCGAGCGTGGTGGCATGCGCCTGTAATCCCAGCTACTCTGAAGGCTGAGGCAAGAAAATTGTTTGAACTCGGGAGGCGGAGGTTGCAGTGAGCCAAGCTTGTGCCACTGCACTCCAGCCTGGGCGACAGAGCAAGACTGTCTCCAAACAACAACAAAAAAAAGTCACAAGTGCTGAAAGGGAATTTAGATTTAGATGGAGCTAATTAGCAACTTGGGACTGTCAAGAAGCCCTGGGGCAGTCAAATTTACAAGTTCCATGAATAAGAGAATTATGGGTAAACAGGGGCATTGAACCTTGAGTTTTTAGCTGGTCTGGCGTACAGGTAATTGTATGGCAGCCCTGCTTGAAAATTGTTAACTTTTTTAATGAATCATTAGTCCCAAGAAATCATTGTACTTCTAGAGGGAGTTTAGAAGGACCTTCCATTTTCAAATAAATAAGGCTCCTCCTAAGGTGGCTGGGAAGAGGGAATAGCAATACACAAAAGGAGCGGAAAAAGGTATACTTCAGGGACTGCTATGCAGTGTGGCTGGGGCAATGGGAAGAAACAGGGAAAGCTAAGATGAATCCCAGATTCCTGACTTTGCCAGTGAGTTGAAGAGTGGTGTTATTTATTGAGGTGAGAGTAGTAGCAAGTTTGAGGGAAATATGGTGAGTTAGTTTTGCACATTCTGCATTTGTGGCATGTTCAGTAGGTCATGCCAAGTGGGCAACTGGAGCTGGAATTTAGGAAGGAAGTCAGTGCTGCTGTCAACAACTTCTAATAGTAAGTTGAGGACAGATGGCCATAGTTTGAAATATGGTTCCAGTCATTTACTAACTCCATGGCTGTATGCATACTGTATAAACTTTCTATGCTTCTGCTTATTCAGTAAAATAATGATAATAGTAACTATTTCACAGAGTTATTTTGAGAATAAAATGAGAAAATGATTGTATACTATTTGGCATAGCACTTGCTTCATTCTAGTCACTTAACATTCATCCATTTCTAGATAACAGAAACACAGAAAGGTAAAGAGGCATGGATGTACACAATATGTATATTTTACATATTTCTATAAAATAATATTTGTATCCCACAGTGCTGGGAAAACTTGAAAGCTGTTTAATGCTTGGCTTGGTATCATTTCCTCTGGGACCTCCCCTGTGCTGCTGCAGATCGTATCTTTAAATAGGCGTGATATTAACAATAATGTTGCTGAGTTGTGATAAATAAATGTTTTCTTACTAGCATTCCTACCTACTTGTATCATCTTTACTTCTCTGCCCATATTTCCATCTGTGTAGCTCAGACAGGTGCTTTTTGCATAATTAATCAAGAATAAGGAACTTCATAGAAGCAATCTTATAAAGTTGAAGTCTCAAAATACAGAGCACCATTAATTCAGTCAGTTTATTTCAGGAAGCACATGGAATCATCCATTATTTTTTATATTATTTTCTTGTATGAGTCCTTGACTGGCTCAAGGAAACTTGCTTTCTTGTTATCTCCTATTTCCAGTAGATTATAAAGGTACCATTATTATTTGTATTAAAGTGTGTTTACTTAAAATTATGAACCATAAATTTTTAACCAGGCTATTTAAATTGCTATTAGTGTTTAGTATTTTTTTAAATGAGGCAATAGTTACTATTGGTCTTGTTCAAAAGAAAAACAAAGATCTGAAGTGCAACATAACACATAATTTTCTCTGTCCCTTTTGCTTTATTGCTTGTGTTCTACATAAGTTGCACTGAATGGTCCTTTTTTATTACATGTGTGTTCTGATATAACTTCATAGATACATCACCTAGACAGAATGTCTGAAGTGCAGGATTTCTCTAACTAGTGCATACACAGAGTGAGTCATCATCCTTTCTGCTGGATGGTAGTGTTGTCATTGTTATGAAACACTCAATCTCATGGGGCCATATTCATTATACATTCATATTTTTTCTTGGAAAGTTCAACTTAAGATGTTATTTATTTTCCCAAATACTAAAAGTCTGCCAATGTCATTCTGTCTGTGGTCACTATTATAAAAATAGATGTTTCAGCCAAAATAACTATGTGGTTTAATGTGTACAGTGTTTTCGTCATAGTGAAATACTACAACAGGATTTTTTTGTTACCCAGATGTATCAACAACTTGAAAATGAACTGCCCGCCTTAGAACACTTTTATGTTACTATAATTTTAAAAACTATTACAGGGTTTAAGTCATTTGACATAGTTGAAGATGCTTAGTTATATAAATTGTAATCATTATCCTGAAAGTATGATTATTATAGCAAATCTATTTCTTAAAAGATGAAGTTGGTTTTATTAGGCTCAATAAGTTAGTCATGAAAGCTCAAGAAATATGTGTTCTTAGTGGTGATTTCGATATTGATAATTGTGGAGACTAAATGTATTGATGAGTACATTACTACTTCCATTTGAAAAATTCACTCAGTATTATATTGCCACTTTGGGCCAAGGGAGACCAAAACATGGTTATTAAGTCTTGCCAGATATATTTGCTAAAAAGTTAAGGAGTTCAGCATTATGCACATGCTATATGCTCAATTAGTTTTATCAAATTCATGAGTTGGAATTTAGTTTGTATCTCCCACATTCTTACTGTTTGTAATATTTTTAAAAAGTTCACTAGTGTTAATATTTCTCATAACAGGATATTATATTCAAACTAGACACACATAATTTGGAGTCTGGCAGACTGAAATGTCCTTTCGATCCTCAGCAGCCTTTTGCTTCAGTAATGACAGGTAAGATCAATGACAGGCAGTTCTTATCCTTAAATGGTTTTCTAAGAGTTATTTTTTGACTGAACCGCATTTTCCTATTGAGTTAAAGGTAATTTTTTACTAATCTTCCACAAGCGATTTGTTTCCATTATTTTAGTGCCAAATTTGTCTGTACTGAGCATCCTTCTCACTAAAGGAAGGCCACAGCAATCCATGGTGTCTGCACAGTTACTTTTTAAATTAACTTCTGATTGAATATTTATAATGTCAAAGAACAGATAATTACTTGTTTTATAATTTTATATTTAGATGTCTGGGGATTTTCTTATGTTGTAATATCTCCCTATCTGACTTATTATAGAAATTAAATTTGGCAATTCCATATGTGGGTAAATTAAACCAAATTAATCAAGCTATAGAATACAGATAATAGAATGTTATAACATCTTCCTTTGCAATTTCACTATAACCTGATTATATCAGTGGAAACATGAAATTTATGCTAGCATAGCTAGTCTTCTCTCACTTTGTATACATCTTAAATTCTCTTATGAGACAACTATCTTGTTCAAAGAAGCAATACTGTGTGGTCTGAAGTCTGTTCCAAGGAATGTCAGCAAGACTTCTGAATTTCAACCATTATAAGGACTCCTTTTGTCTTGGTTTGGTCATGACTTCAGTCTCTTTCTATTTAACTTGTCTGTCAAATGTTTGAATAGACGATAAGAGTGAAGCACCATGACATTTTAATTTTCACTTAGTGAGAACTAGTGATTTTGCTTTGAAGTGACAGCATGTGTGTATTTGTGTTTTTTGAAAATTATGTGACTAATGATCAGTCATTATTCTCAGAAAATGAGATAGATGGTTTGTGATTCTGCTCTGTGAAATGGAGTTGGCATACCCTTAATAAAAAAACAAAACAAAACAATAGATTGGCGGCAGTTGTTACTCTCCTGATGAATCTCCAAGTAATTTTAGGGACAAGGAAGAAGTTCGAAAGCCTGGATATTCAGATCTAATTTTTGTGTTGAAATATATTTTTTCCTAACAAAACATTCAAATACTTGCAATTTTATAGGTTTCAAAGTGACAGTTCACTTCTTTTACCAAACTTTTTAATAATGTCTTTGTTGTTATTATTTTATTCTTTTTAAAAAATATGCCCACAATGAAATATTGCCATTTATCTGATACATTGTAGGGAAATACTCTAAGAGGATGGAAGCAGTACCTTATCTATGTCTACTTTACATAGCTGGAGTTCTCTCTCTCTCTCTCTCTCTCTCTCTCTCTCTGTGTGTGTGTGTGTGTGTGTGAGCGCACATTTCCTTTAGAAGTTAGCTATTCTCATTCTTAAGGTTGAATTATCCCTGATCGTTCATTGAAAGCTTATTTAGATGGATATAAACAGGGACTACAGAAAGTATCTTAATCCCTTCTTATACAAGGCAGAATTTTAAAGATATGTTTCTGAGCAAAAATAAATTTCAGTGATAAAACAATGTATTTGTTCTCATATTTAGGCATTTATAAAGTCTAAATGCTCTGTAGGGATTTGCCATTTTTTACATTGTTCTATTAAATGTAAAGCAAAGTGGTTGACTAAGAAGTTTCTTGAAATAGTAGAGGTTTAGCTCTCAAAGAGACAACATATTCTCCTGCAGGAACAGCCTTCTTCCTGCCCCTCCGCCCCACCCCTTCCCAACACCCTGACTAACATTAGGGAACATGGATCCCTGCTGCCTTCTTCTCCTTCCCTTATGTTTTTCTCACTCCCCTTCTTTCCATCCTCTTCCTCTCTCTAATCTGCCTTTTCTCTTTTCTCTTTGTCCTCCCCTTCTCCTGCCTCCTCTTTTCCCCCTCTTCCTCTTACTTCCCTTCTTCCTCCTTCTCACCATCCCTTCTCTCCTCCTCCCTTTCCTTCTCCTGTCTTCTTTGTTCTTCTCTCCTTTCTCTCTCTTTTTCTCCTTGACATTCCCCTTCTCTCTTTTGCTCCTTTCTGTCTCTGGTGAAACAGAACATGTACTTTACACAAATAGCAGAACAAAGAAGTTTGGTATGCAGTAATGGCAACATCTTTCCCCTTTCAAGAATTCCTGTTTATCAGAACTATTAGAGACATGATTAGCTACAAGGAATGCAACATGTTATAATTACAAAGAATGACTTCAGTGCTGAAAGCTCCCTTTCACCAGAGGTTAGGCAAAGAAAATTTGTGGTCATTGAGGTTGTGTCAGTTAAGTAAATACTAATCACACAATCCATTCCTCATTATGGCATTTAGCTTTTCATATTTTTTGTGTCTTATTCTAAAGAGGAACTCTTAATTATGACATTTATTTGAATTATTTGTGGGGAGAAGAGAAAGAGGAAACACTTATTATTTATTCAAAAGGGAAGCTAATGCATGTGCAATTATTAATTCAGAGAATTTGGCCTGTTTATATTCAAGTATTCAGCATCAGCTTACCAAAGTAAATTGAGTTATCTTTTCTTCAACTGAGATAAATTTTCAAAATCTGTGAAATTTATGAAACAATACATTCTGATATTAAGAAACAAACATCTTTGGTGTCATGCTGTGAAATTTGTACATGTTAAATAGCATCTACTGCTGTACTCTTAAAAGTTCTGTGTACTTTTTTCTCCCTCTCAGATGAGTACCTCTACTCTGGAACAGCTTCTGATTTCCTTGGCAAAGATACTGCATTCACTCGATCCCTTGGGCCTACTCATGACCACCACTACATCAGAACTGACATTTCAGAGCACTACTGGCTCAATGGTTTGTGATTTTTTTTTGTTTACTTTTGATTGTCTTGCTTTGGTTTAAGATAGATAAGAAGTGTATTATTATTCATTCAAATGTGTTTTGGAATAATTAATTTAGCTCAACATTATAAAATACATTTGAAATAATTCCCCACTAAGAAAATCTCCAAAACCTTTTGTTTATATAGTAATACATAATATTTATTGAGTGTCTGCTATTCCTCAACACTCTTCTGTGCTCTAATTAATATTTTAAATATTCACAATGACATCTGGGATATATCATTATTTTATTCTTTAATACGCATAAACTATTATGCTATAAAAATACTGAAGTACAGAGAAATAATTTGGTCAAGGTCTTATAACTTGTCAGATGCAGAGTGAGAATTCAAGCAGGCAATCTTACTCTTGCAGTCTGTGTAAAGACCAAGGCATGTACTGTCTGTTAGCCCAATGAACTCGGGTTAGATTGTAATGGTAACTTCTGTTGCTTAAAAATAATATACACTTGGGTTAAGACATTTCTCTTCAAAATTTTAAGCATATTAATATTGACATAATTTTGTCTGATTACTATTTTAAGAATCATACAATATTTTGAGTTTCAAATTTTTTAAAAAACATAAGAATATTATAAATGAGTTTATTTAATTAATCCAAGGAACACTACAAGGCACCTAACTCCACCCCACTCCCCACCACCGCCTTACAACAGATCAAATTTTATCATGATTCTCTAACATGTGATTTTATTCCATTGCATGGCAGAATGACATAACACTGTAATTTAAGCAGGCAGGCATTTTTCATTCCCATAATAAATATTGGGCCTTAGTGAAGGAGGCGAGGGTAGAGATTTCCTAGGGTCTATCTCTCTATCTCTCAGTGCCTTTTAAGCAGTGACAACATAAACAAAAGGAAAAACACTTTGAAAACATTTCTTTAGTCAAAAACTCCAGATCTATTTGTTTATACAACAATGTGATTCTCATCAGCCAAAAAAAGTACCCTTAATAGGTAGTCTTAAAAGGGAAAACAAATATAGAATATCCATGACTACGTGATTACCCATTAATTTCTTAACACACATGCAAAGCAAAGCTATCTTTTTGTGCATTGTCAGATTTTTGTGGAATTATTTGGTTTGAGAGTAACTTCTTAAATGTCACCTATAGAATAGCTTAGATACCTATTTGAGTAAAAAGATATTTTTATGGCTTAAAATGAAGTATAAGATTGTATCTCTGTCTTGGGATGGCAAATATCATGTTTCTCCTCTTCTAAAAGACAGTAGTATTTTTTCCATTACTGTAACATATTCATTAATAAGTCAGCAGCATTGTCAATACAATAAATGTAGGAAATATGCATTCAATTATTATTTGCCTAGATATGCTATTTTTAGTACTGTATGAAGAAGATTAGAGATTAGGAAGCCTTTGAATTGGTTTAACAATTTCCTTAATAAACAACTTCTGAGACCCTATTGCCTACTGGGTGCTATTCTACCCTTGTGGCCTGCATAGATAGATAGGGGAGGGTCACCGACCTCAGGGATGATGAACGCCTTGCTCAGCCTGAAGCATAAAGCGGGAGTAGGAGACAAGGCTACAAAGCTGTAAATATTATCTTGAAACCATGATGGCTTACTTTTTAATCAAGGAGTCAGAATTTTGTTTTTCTAAAGGTAACTTACAAAAACAATAGCATGTTTTTTAATAGCATGAATGGAAGACTAAAGAAGGACGAGGACAGAGAGACAAGAGGCCACTGCATGAAAATAGGGAAATGAGAAAGGGACAGCAACAAAAGTAGTGGAAGTATATGAGAATATACTGCAAAGAATATTTGAGAGAGAATATACTGTTTTGTAAATAGAAGAATCCAAGGACATGAGACAGAGCTCAAGAGATTTGTATGCTGGGAAAACTTTGCAATTAAAGAAGCCAGTAGAATAAAATAAATTGAAGGTAGGAGAAAAGACAAATGGTAGAGGAAGTCTCAATTGACTGACTTCAAGCAAATAATTATGATGCAGAAAAACTGACTTTTATGGTTCTAGGAGATTCAAGGCAGACTGCTTAGCAGTTAAAAGCCAGGGTGATAATATGACCTACTTTGCCCAGGACATTTTCAGTTTGCTCCTGTTCTTTTACTCTTAAAAGTGTCCCTGTTTAGACTAAAATTGATTCTGTGGAACTTATTTATTTGTGCTTAATTCCTGAATGGTGACTTTGGTCAAACTTTAATGTCCATTCAAATTCTTTGTCTGTAAATATGGAATCTATTAACAATAGAATCTATTCACAGGGCGTTATAAGGATAAAATTAAATCATATCGGGAAGTCTATTAGAAGACAATTTTAAGAGCTGAATTAGCATCAATATCATCATGATCATTATTAGGTATCATGTGGTACCATGAAGGTAGCAGTGGGAGGTAGAAGTGAGGCTAAAACCTGAATGCTGTGTGATTCTCTACTATCTCTTTAGCATTTTGTATTATTGACTGCCTTTTCATTCTCTCCCTCTACACTTCATAATTCTGTGAGCTCATCCATCCGAATAGTTTCAACTGTTTCCTGTGTTCCAGTGTTTCCTAAAATTGTATTTCCAACCTTTTCCTGTAACTAAGTGGCCTCAAAAATAATTTATTTGGATGACTTCCATTTTTATTCTAGATTAAAAGAAAAAAGATTATTGTTTTATATAAAAATCAAGATATGTAAGCCTTAGTTTTGATTGTGCTGTTAAATTGCTTTAAGGTTGTTACAAGTGGTTTAATGACCCTTTGTTTTAATTGGATTTAAAGTCTAAAATCTTGTGAATGTTATAGATCTTGTTTCTTCTTTCAAACCTGTCCTTCAATATCCATTTTCTGATTTTTATCTATTTTAACTTTCCTAACTTCATCCACCCAGTTACCTTGGAGTTATCTTTGATTCCTTCCTCTTCTTCCTCTCCTTTATCTAATCTATTTCTAAGAGCTTTTACTTCCTTGAAAATATCTGTTGACCTTGTTCTTTCTATGGTTACCATTTTCCTATAGGTCTTCATTACCTCATCTCTGGTTTATTGCCACCATTTTATTGTTTACTAACTGATCTCCCCATCTCTCATCTCTTCCCATTCAAAATTATTTTATATAATATCCATGCTAGTCCTATCTTTGGCACTTTTAAAGTGCTATTTTATTGACTGTTATAAACCTGAGAGAATTACTATTTACATTTTACATTTGATGATATATTTGATGTCAGATAATAGTTCATAGTTAAACAGCTAGCGGAGGTGAGATTGAAGCTCGAATATGTGTATCTCGCCCCTGATATTGTATCATTTCCATTGTATAATACAGTTCATCGGCTCAAAATCTGCTCTTTTGATGGCATGTCCCCTGCTCTTTGCAGCCTCACTACAAACTGGGACATATGGACATGCCATGTAGGGCAACAGCAAATCAAGGATGTGGGTCTGGTAGCAGGAAGCAGGGACAGATAGAGAAGATGGAGTTCCGCAAGCAATGAGGGAGACCTAGGCAGTCTGGCTGGAGCCAGGGAAAGCAGGGAAAGTGCAAGCAGCCATTCAGATATTTGCTGAGGGAAAGGCAGGCCAGAGCTAGAAGAGCACAATGCTTCAGGAGATTCAGTCATTCAGGAGTTCCCCAGTCCACAGAAACTAGGGCAGAGTAAGGGGAGAAATTGTAGAAATGATGATATTCTTATAATGAAGAGGGATCTGATGGACTAAGACAAAATATTGGCTTGCTCAGAGAACATTTCTGTCCTTTATGAGAAATGGGCGATTTTCCAGATACAGTCAGCCTATGGTCCAAAGTCAATGGAGTCATCTGTCTGGAGTCAGGAGTGGGAGGGGAGAGAATACAGATGAACTGCGACAAGTGAGTATTTAACTGTTAAGATGCAGATTCTAAAGAGTTATCATTTTTCATATGATGCTACATGAATCTTTTATAAATCCATTTTTATCACCGAAGCACTTAGGGGGTTTAAAATTCTTGATACAGGTGTGCATGGCATATTATGTTCTGTGCCCCACTTGGCATTAACCAGAGTGAGATCAGCTAACCACTTAACAGTGCAAGGATCCTTCTCAGAATTTTTCTAGGACTGTTTAATCCAGTTTAGACTTAAAAAGTAGGAATCCTGATTCCTTCCTTAAGATACTAATCCATCTAGCAAATACCTTACGAGGAGGATACAAAATGGCAAAGATGAAATTTTTTCATCTTTGAGGCAGTTTTCATTTGAAGTTGTAAAAAGTGTTTTTTTTACAGTATTTTTATGGGCATTTCTAAATGAAGTCTTTGATGGTTCCACACTTTGATTTATCAACTTAATCTTAAAACATATAGGAAATAGGAATATAGATGCAAACTAGGGTGTTTACTCAAATGCAGTTGAGCTTTTGTTACAATTTTAGGATAAAACTAAGAAGTGTGACCACTTGGAAGATGAAAGCGAACAATAACGCCTCAGATGCATGCAGATGTTTTTGTTTTCTTTCTTGGAATAGATGAGAACTTTTGTTTTAAATTTTCTTTTCTAACATATGGAGACAGTTTTCATTTGAAGTTTCTCTTGGGATGATCTGTTGTCTGTAAACTCTCCTTCCACATGAAAGGAGAACATCAAAAAATGATAATAGGAAAATGAGACTATAAGAAGTAATAAAAGGAAGTTAGGAACTTACTATCTATTAAATAATGCTAGTGTGCTCATCTGGGTGAAAAGAGTTTCATAGGGAGAAAGGGAAGTAGTGTGTGCTGCAGGCCACATGAGTTTATGCCATGTTCTTTTGGCAGTGCCTCTTGGTGTCATGCTAGAAGTTCATCTGAAAATGCATGATTTCAAGCTGCATTCCTACTGGGGCATGTACTCAAGTGCCAAATGGAGAAAATGTGCTATAATAAAGCCCAGGTGCCTAATGGTATAATTTTAAGTTGTTTAATTGATCAAGTATGCACTGATTAAATGATACCTATTTTTACCCAAATTTGGCAGTAAATCAGGGAAGAGTTTCTGTCATAAAATACTAACATCAGAGTTCTAAGACCGGACCTCAACAGAATCTGCAAGAAATAAACTCTGTGCTTGCAACTTGTATTTATTTTTAACTCTCAAGTATGCTTACTATTTAAATCACAGAATAAAGCACTACTTGACACTAACTCTTTTTCTCATAATTAAATTTCTTTATACAACAAACATTTAGCTTTAACACCTCCAGTATTCCCTTGCAAAACATTTTTTACAGTACTTGCAAGAGAGCCAATATTTAAGAGAGAGTTCAATAAAATCAATAATGACTGAATAAACAGAATAAGACTGTCTATGGCATATATCAGTTGAAAGGTAAAATAAATATCACTTGGAAAAATATCCATGCTCTTTCCTCCTCCCACCTCATTGATGTCATACTGAAATTTCTGAAATGTAGACTAGTATCATAGCCTACCTATTGGCCATTTCAAATAGCCATACCTGTCAACACTTGGATGATGTTTTTCATATCTGAAGTGGGTTTTCCTATGCATTTCTGCATTATGACAATGAATTGCCATATTTATTTATACCCCTTTTACACTTCTTTTATCATTATGTTCTATTTTATTATTCTGCTCTTTTTTCTTTTAATTAAACTCTGTAAACAAGTGAACAACAATCAGCTCATGGAACCCCTTCTCCCATTTGAGTGATTGAGGAAAGCTTTATAAGCAACTCTCTCCTTCATATTGGTATTCCTTTTAACTGTTCTGCTTTTCGGTTTCGAATCACTGAGTTCTCATTTTCTCTCTAGAGAGAAGATTCTCTACACTTTGTACCACTATGTTATTTTTTAAATTATAAATTCAATTCAATCATTTTGTAGGTTTGACAGGACACTGAAATTTCAAGGGACATCATGCTGCATGTGTAAGTTCTACATTAATTATATGCAAGTGCTACAATAAATTCTACTCATGTTAATACCGATGTAATCCCACATATTTGTGAAGATAAGGAAATCCAATCATTTCCTATAATTTCTGCATAGTTTCAGTTTTATACATTTTTCCCATTCAAATTACTTAAGAATTTATTATTAATTCCCCACGCCCCCATATATACATACATAGAACTATATTATTGACCTTGAGTTAATGAGTCTAAATGTATCTTTTTCCCATCCCGTATATAGATAGGGTTTTATTTATTTTTGTATTTGTATATGTTTAAAATACACATGGCAGTTCAGCTAGAGAATTCCATCCAGTTTGGCAGCACTGGATTTAAGCATCTGTAAATTCAAAAAGTTCTAAAGATTATTATTCATCCCTGGTCTGTGTTTGTGGGAGCCCACTGTTGGTTGTTTTTCTCTGTTCATTGTTGTAATATCAAGTCAGTGGAAAAATCATGGCTATGCATTCTCTTTAGCCATGTCTTGACCATTTGTCAATATTTCCTTAATCCAGATCATACTTGGTTTGATATAGAGTGTCAGTTCTTATTCATTCTTTTATTATTTAATTCAAATAGTTTTCTTTTTTTTTGCACTAAATTCCTTGAATATAATAGTAATGAAATACATTATTTCTCTGTTTTCTTGAATTTCAGAAACCCGAATCTCACATTTATAGAACAATTTGATCCCACAAAGAGTTGCTTTTTTTTTTTTTTTTTTTTGTAGTGGAGTCTCGCTCTGTCGCCCAGGCTGGAGTGCAGTGGCACAATCTTGTCTCACTGCAAGCTGCGCCTCCCGGGTTCAGGCCATTCTCCTGCCTCAGCCTCCCGAGTAGCTGGGACTGCAGGCGCCCGCCACCACGCCCAGCTAATTTTTTTGTATTTTTAGTAGAGATGGGCTTTCACCGTGTTAGCCAGGATGGTCTCTATCTCTTTACCTCGTGATCTGCCGGCCTCGGCCTCCCAAAGTGCTGGGATTATAGGCGTGAGCCACACCAAGAGGTGCTTTTTAAAAGAAAACATGTTTAAATAAAAAATCTGAAGTGTTGGTTTGCGATTAAAAAAAAAGAGATTTTTACTTTGCTCAGTGATCAAAACCAAGTATTCGTGATTTACTAACAATTTGAAAGAGGGCCGGGGCAGGGGTTGGGGAAGACATTGAATGGAATTTTTAATGGGCCTTGCCAATTTGAGATTAATTAGAAAAAAATTAAATACTTTATGTGGTTTTCTAAAATTTTATTTTTATATATTTTTGAAAAACCATACCAAAGTGAGATTATCAAGAATATAAAAGTCCATTGAAGCTCTAAATTACCGACAAAACAAACAAAAGAAAACAGGAAAATAATATAGAATAAGGAGAAGAAAGTTCATGAATGTATTTCCCTCCTTTCTTTTCCTTTCAAAGCTTTGCATTAAAGCAAAGAAGAGATTGGATGGGAGACACAGGGCCAACCCAGAGAGGCTGAGACGATATTGACTGAATACCCATCACTCGGAATCCAACGTTAACTTTTTATTTACTTATTTTCTTTTTGAGACGGAGTCTGTCTCTGTCGCCTAGGCTGGAGTGCCCTGGTGTGATCTCGGCTCTCTACAACCTCTGCCTTCTGGGTTCAAGGGATTCTCGTGCCTCAGCCTCCCAAGTAGCTGGGATTACAGATGTGCACCACCATGCCCGGCTAACTTTTGTATTTTTAGTAGACAGGGTTGCACCATATTGGCCAGGCTGTTCTCAAACTACTGACCTCAAGTGATCCACCCGCCTCAGCCTCCCAAAGTGCTGGGATTATAAGCGTGAGCCACCACACCCAGCCCCAACATTAACTTGTCTATTAAAGAAGGCTACTGTGAAGCTTTATTGGGATATTGGCCAATTGCTGTACATTTGCAGGAGAGTGATTTTCATAACACCTGGGGCGCACAGCAATCAGAGCTCTAGGCAAAACTCTAGAAAAGGCAATATTGATCTTTTTCACCTCCCGCCAATTTATTTTTCTGTTAAAACTTTTTGGCTTCTCTTTTCTCTTGCTTCTGCTTCTTAAAAAGTCAGTGCTCTGTTCTTCTTTCCAGGTGCCACATATTTTCTAATTGAAGTCTTTCCTTCATTTCTCAATAACCATACTCTCTGTCTTCTTTGCTTTAATCCAATTATTTCTGAACTGGTATCATCCTATTACGCATCTGTTACCTGGTTAATTCACAATTATTTAAAACCAAGACTTAAAATGCCGAATACCTCTTAAACAAGGTTTTAGAAACCCAAATAAATTTTTCAGTGATACAGTGAAAAGAGGTTCATCATATTGCAAACATTTTTACACTGTACATATATTATGGCCATCTTTCCAGGTCAGTACCTACAGATCTACTAAATTTTTAATAATGACATATTATTTTTACAAGTACATGGATGTACTCAATTTTCTATTAACCCCTGTATATTGTCATCGTAATGATAATGCTTATCAGCCCCATAACTATCTTAATAATAATCACACTTATTAAATACTTATTATATAACCAGCCTTTGCCTGATGCTAAATGCTATACATATATATATATATATATATATATGCTGTATATGTATGCTATATAAATTTCAGTATGACATCAATGAGGTGGGAGGAGGAAAAAGCATGGATATTTTTCCAAGTGCTATTTATTTTACCTTTCAACTAATATATACCACGGATAGCCTTATTCTGTTTATTCAGTCATTGATTTTATAGAACTCTGTCATAAATACTGGCTTTTGTACTGTAAAAAATTGTTTTGGAGGAATACTGGAGGTGTTAAAGCTAAATGTTTGTTGTATAAAGAAATTTAATGCTATATATATGCTATATATATAAAATGTTATATAAATGCTATATATATAGCATATATACACATATAAAAAGGAATTTAATGCTTATATATGCTATATGTATATAAATGCTATGTATATACACATATAAATCCACTTGATAATAATATAAATTATCTTATTAGGTAGATGACGTTGGTAGTCTTATATTACATATGAGTAAATTGAGTCATTGAAAAGATAAATAATGTGTCAAAGGTCACCATTCCAGTGAGTGGCAGTGAAAGAGATAAATTCAGAAAGTTTATCTAGAGCCTATACTGTCATATTGAACTTGAACCAAACACTACTGGTTGTTTCCATTTTTATACCCCTAGGGCAATTACACAAAATTCATCAAAGTATTAATACATCACAGTATGTCAAAATCAGTGCTAGATTTTTACTATTTCCTAAGCCGTTTATGAAAGACATGGTGGTTGAAAACTCCATTATATAGAAAGAGAATATAAAATGATAGCATCTCCATATCTGAAAAGATCTACAAGCAATTTAGTCTAGTCATGTTCTCACCTGCTCTCTGGAATTCCTGGAGAACTTGTTCAGTACCTCTTTATGCTGATACATATTTCTACATTGTGTCATCTTCATTTGTATACACATCTCATTTCCCACATCTGGCTTATAGTTCATTTTTTAAAAATTCTACTGCTAATTGCTTTTACGTGGAAATATCATCAAACTATGATGACTGGATTGTTTCAGTATCTTAATTTATAGCTTCTTTTCTTTCAAACAGGAGCAAAATTTATTGGAACTTTCTTCATACCAGACACCTACAATCCAGATGATGATAAAATATATTTCTTCTTTCGTGAATCATCTCAAGAAGGCAGTACCTCCGATAAAACCATCCTTTCTCGAGTTGGAAGAGTTTGTAAGGCAAGATATATTTATATATTTTACTTAAAACATATATATATATATATATATATATATATATATATATATATGTATATGAAAAAACTTTGGCAAGGTTTAAGCCAAAGTTAATGCTCATTATTCATAAATGGTATGATTCATACTACCCTAGATGTGTAATTTTTGAGATCCAAATGTAAAAAATAAGAAAAAGAAAAGAAAAGAAAAAGAAGAAAAGAAAGAAAAAGGAAAGAGTTCACATTTTTCAAACATTACAGTTTATTTTTCCAACAGTGCCTGAACTGTTGCCCTGGTGTGAGTTACACATCTTTGGCAGCTTATTTCTTTTATTGAAGGTCTATTCTTTTGCCAGTGATTGCTATTCCCAGTAACATCACTGCATTGTCCTGATCCCTGGAGCTTAAAATGTTTTTATATAATGTTAAATAATCTAAATGAAAGTAACTTAACGTAATCCCTAGAGTAATTTAAGCATCATCAGATGTATATTCTACATTTTTATCATCACGCACATCACATATGTAAAATTATATATCATTACATGCATCAAATCAGTTGAAATTTTGTTACGTTATTACTCTATTAAATATTTTCTAGACCTGTAATCTAGTTTAGGTTCTGAGAGAAAATGAGGTAAAGAGGAAAAAACAAACAACCACAATGCAAAATATTTATTTTGAAGAATACTGCAATTAGTTTTTAATCTTGCCATTTTATGTAAATTATAAATAAACACAGATACTCTATGAGAGGCTTCCATTTTGTGCCATCAAAGCTCTCATTTGACTGAATACAAGCTTTATGGAATAATGTTGCTACTAGAATCATACTTTAACTTCAGTATATTATTTTTCTGCTTAGATTTGTCTCCACTGAAATAACTTTTCTTAAAAAGACACCTTTAGCATCAACTCAGTTATTAAGGGGAAGAGCTGTTAATAAATACTCTCAGCAGGAAGCTTTCTTTGGTCTTGTACAAACTTTTCATTTTCTTCTATCTGAACCTATCACGTTTTTCTTTCAATCTGTACCCTCAGGCTTCTGAACACTTTCAGGGACAGAAATACAAACCATCATTGCACTTAAAAGTGCTAATGAAAACATGGCTTTTGAATGAGGCCAACTTGTGAGCCCAGATCATTCTTTACCTAGTGTCCTAGCCAATAATGCTGTCTCCCACTGATCCCCTCACCCCCAGGGGACAGATTCTCTAAAAAGCATTCTCATTCTTTCAGACTCTAAGAATTCACAGTAATTTCTCTTGAAGCCTCTTGCCTAGAGATGAATGCCTGTTGTTTGGAGTAGTCCTAATGTGTTAGTGTATTGAAGCATGCCTTATAGCAACAGTATCCTGACCCTGAAAAGCTGTGTTGTGGATTGACATTATTTGTATAAATGAGCTATGTTAAATAAAGAATAAGGGATTTACAATCAATTAAATGAATTTCAAGAGTCACTTTCTGATGAATATATATAGCAAGTAAATATATATTTTGTGCACCAGTTCAATGCTTATTTCTTGATAAATATAATCCATTTAATAGAAATGTATTTGTAACAAAGTAATGTCTTACCCTAGTATAAATATACTGAAAGTTAATCTCAGAGTGTATTAAAGAAAAATCTAGTTATCCCATATATAAATTCCTATATTAAAATTATAACCTATTCTCTAAACATCAACCATGTAATATTTTATTTATATTATGAAAAAACACCTAGAGAACTGGAAAGGCAGAGAAAATTGTCGTAAATGAGTTTTCTCATCACACACACACACACATACACACACACAAAACCTCTGAGGCCACACAGCAAGATTCTGTCATGCTATTGTTCTTGGTTAAAAAGCTAACAAATTGTGAGATCAAAAAAGAATATATGATGGATGAATTTATTTTTTAAAAAAAGAGGTTCTTCATTAATTAGTGTATCTCCACTCAATCACATTTTTAAATGAGCACATCTTCAGAATTTCTCACTATACATATGATCCATTGGTCAAATGTCTACAATATTTTGGTTCTAAATGCTTTCTTTGCAGTTTCTCAGTTGCATCACATGCTGCCCATGTTTCTAACTTAATAATCTAAGATTAAGTTGTGGCAAAAAGTGAACATTTTCAAGTGGAGATTTCACTGACAACATGAAAAATGACTTAAAATCTTTATTTAAAATATGACAAGATGGCCTACAAAACAATAACAACTTTAGCAATAACAAAAAAAGACCTCAGCATCATTGTTGCTGTAATCTTATTTTCACATAAAAAAGATTATTTTGACATTATTTGAAACTTATTATTCCTTTCTGTTGTTTCTTCCCCCCAGCGTCATTATAATACTGTTTTTTTCTTTTGACAAGTAATAACAGAATGCACATCTATGCTATGAAACAAAATTGAGTTCAGTAGATACAAGTAAAGATCTAAGAAGCAACAGATCATGTTAGAGGAAACTAAGAGTAAACTGTGTATGCTTCACTGAGTTTTACAAAGATTTTTTAGTAACATGAGAGTCCTTTATTCTATTTGTTCCACCAGCATATTCCCACAGAACATATTTGGAAATACTCAGGTTTTGTTGTTCTTGCTGTTATAGTTCATTTGTTCTCATTTTTCACTGAATAAGTTAGCACAGTAAAGAACTGCTGACAATTTAAGAGCTCCCTTCATCTTCAGCTACTAACTGAAAAACAATTGTTTTATTGACTTGTAAAACTAGTTTTATTGACCGGTCAAAGATACTATTAGACTAAGTAGTATACTGTGATTGGTGGGGAAAAGATTTTGGCAATAGAGAAACATTATATAAAAATGGGTAAAGGATTATTCTCACAACAAGTGTGAATCTTTTCACTTTTATAACTCTTTTGTTTATTATTTTATTATCTAATTATTTCAACAACAGCAACAAAATATGAAATAATTTCTGCGCAAAATGCACTATACTAGACAATTAGTGTAGATAATCAACCACTGTCCCTTTTCTTTCAAAGCTTTTAGTATAGTGAGGGCAATAGATATATCAACAAATAATCATAATGTGATGTGATAGAGTTATGAGCTAAGAACTCTAGGGATTTGGTGAAGCCCAAAAACATTGTATGAAGGAAGTGGTGCTTTAGTTGAGTTCTATGAGGAAGTGGGACTACGCTAAGGAATGGAGGCCAGGCATTTCAGGCAGCGTTGTGACAGTTGTTTTTTGTTTGTTTGTTTTTCGTTTTTATTTTTGTTTTGGTTTTGGTTTTAGTTTTGGTTTTAGTTTTTGTTTATAGAACAGTGAAATCTTGTTGTAACTGGAATTCAAGGGATGTGTCTGGGGAGCAATGACTTTTGAGATTAGAGTGGTAAGTTGGTTGATAAGAAGTTTTGTTTCCATGTTAGTCAGTGTGAACTCTATCCTGTAGTCAATGAGGGATTATAAAATGTTTTAAGCAGAGAAGTGACAAGATAGGTAAATATAGTTAGCAGCAATTTGAAGAATGTATCTGGATCGAGAAATATTTGTGACTGGGAGACCTGTTAGGTTGTTCCCTAAAGATAACAGGAACAAAGAGATAAGCACTAAGAGTAAGTTCAAGAGATAGTTCAGATAGAAAGTATATGTAGGTGTATATGTAGATTTCTATAAAGTCCTCACTTTATTACTGCTCTTTTATTGTTTGCCTGGTATACATAGGGCTGACCAATAGAGCACTCTTATAATGACGGTAATATTCTACACCTGCACTATCCAATACAATCGCCATGTAGATGTTAGTGTTCAAATATGACTGGCATGACTCATGAGCTAAATTTTTAATGCATTTTAATTCTCTTGCTCCTATCATAGAGATTTTGATACCTACCCTGTAGACAAGTACCCTTTTATCCTTGGTAATTGTGATTCCTGGAAGATACAACATGGACCAGGAACATGTGCAAAGAGATATATTTTGATATGAGATGGTAAATAACAAAAAAAATTATGAGCACAGATTTTTATATTTGGATATGAAGAACTTGATGTGGTTCTGAGATATGGGGGCACAATAGCCAGTTGAAAATATAACCTGAGGCTCAGTAGTCTCTGGACTCATAAATTTGAAAATCAGCAGTACACTGGCAGATCTTGAAGTTATGGAAGTGCCTGACATTACTCAGGAAGATTTGTAGTGCAAGATCAAAGGGCAAGGATAGAATCCAATGGGACAATGACATTTAGGAAATAGAAGAGAAAAGTGTCTGCAGAGGCAATTGAGAGGAAATGGTGTCATTGCTGAGTGGGAAAACTGGAGAAGAGTGTTGTCACAAGTCAGGGGAAAAGATTGCTTCAAGAAGAAAGCAGTTGTCAAAAATGTCGCTTATCAAAAAGAGGTCAGGTAAGATTATGATTAAAGACTAGGTATTAGATTTTGCAGTAATGATATCATCAATGACTTTTGCCTGGATGATGTGAATGTTCAACTTAAAATCAGATCTAGGCTTACATTTTGCTCTACTTCCCATTCTCTCAGTTTCTTAACCTAAAAAATGAGGACAGCAGGCACCTATTGCTTCCATAACTATTTTACCAAGCAAATGTAAGGCTTTAATAAGATCATATGAATTTGGATGTGACAGATAACTGAGGAAGGTGCCAAAAACAAGGGTAACTTAGATATCTAAGTTTACAAGCATGTAACAATTTACTATAAGAGATTGACATGTAAATAATGTAAATATCTGGTCACACTACAGTGAATTTAATCCCAAAAATCACACATATGCACACATGCATGTGCACACATACACACACATCACACATACATTTGGAGCCAGATCAGCGTACCTGTGCTTAGGAATGGAAGAAGTTGGTGTTGATGGTAGTGGTGCGTGTATTTTGCAGTGTTAGGGGCAGGTTAGTTACCAAAGGTGATCAAAGAGATATGTCATTTTATTAGTTTTAAAGGCTGAAGTTACATTATTATTTTTCTTTATCTTTAGGAGAATTTGTGCTTTGAAGATTGATCTTATTTCTGAACATAGTCAAAGTAATTTGGAGCTGTATTTGGAGAAAGTTGCATAAATGATTTGAACAATGCAAATTTTGGTCAAGAGATATCAATGAAGAGAGACACAATAAATAAACTGACTTAAAAGATAATTTTACTGGGCAATATTGATCAATGAGAGCCTGAGGCGAATAAGTGCCTTCATCCACAGAATATCTTTTAAACTTAATATGTTTATAATTATACATGGTAGAGCACATTTCCTAATGAATTATTTTTAGTAGTGTTCCTACTTTCCAGTCAAACTACTTACTCTATTTTTCCAATAAATTGTTTAACCTTGAAGGATTTCTAAAGTCCTTGTCAAGCTCTACAGTTCTTTCATTTTGTGAAACAGTTAATATCTTGAAGCACGAAATGGTGCAACTTACACCCCAAAGAACTGCTCTCGTAGATGGTAAATAACACAGATCTTCTTGATGAGCTATTAAATGCTAATTGAATGAATAGGCAAAACCACATGAAATAAACCCACTGAAAAGATTTGTGTCTATTTACTTTGCAAGTTAGTACTTTCAAAATACATTATTTATGTCTGTCTGATGTTTATTACTCTGTCTCTGTGTGTGTGTGTGTGTGTGTGTGTGTGTGTGTGTGTGTGTGTGTGTGTTTCCCTTCAAGACCCACCTTTTAAGTCAATGGGTGGAAATACTAGTTCTTTCGGTGAGACTTGCTTGCAATTTTTCACCTCAAGGCTGTTTTGCATTACTTTTGAATTCTATTCATTTTTGGAAGAGCTGCCCATTATACTTATGCAAGTCTACTCCAGATTCCAGCTGTAGGTTATGCCAGTTCTCTTTTTTGTTTTGCAGTATTTCCTTTCCCCATGCCAGGAATTCAGTTTGGATGGCCCTTTCACATAACTTGCCTGGGGGTCTCATTAATAGCCCTTTGCTTCAATTCCACTTGCATTGTCTATTTTGATATATGGTCCTATTTGGACAATTACTGCCTTTGAAGATTTGTGTTTTTAGGCCGATGACACTTTCCGTATTTATTGATCTCTGTTGAGCTGTGGTTTTTGTGCTTACTTTCAGCATGTCACTTACAACCTAAATGAGAGATTTAGTGCCCACGAGTTACAGATGTGCTTTTGCTTCACTTCCATCTGTTTTCCTGTCTGAGAAATTCCTAGGAAGGGGTTTATACTGTTTGCTACAGCTTTTTTTTTTTAATTGAATGAACTCTGATTCTACCTGAAAAGGACTGCTTAACATTCCTAGATTTACCTAACTGAATGTGCTAAATCTTAGAAACTGAGTTGTTCAGGATAGTGTATTACACCAGTCCTGTATTTCCAATAATTTTTATGAGTTTCTGAAGTAGTTAGAAAAACATGTTCTCCACTTCTATTTGCTTAGTCATTAACGGCAAATCACAAATAGTCGTCTCTAAATACTAGGTGTATTTTTCAGAAAAAAAAAATTGCCTTGAAAGCCTCTATAGAATTTATCCCTTAAAAGTTAGTGTGTTTAATAGCTGCCACAAAAGTTTTTGTTGTTCTTTTTTTTTCTCCTCTATCCTTTGCCTTAGATGTTTGAGTTTGTATATTTTTATTTCATCTAAAGTATTTCAAGATTATTAGTAGGTGAGGTAAAGGACTCTATGTTATTATATGTCAAGAATTTTGGGGGGAATCCTAAGTATCAGAAGTGGGAAAAAAAAACTTTTGAAAACAGTAAAGAGCAAGTGCCAATAGACCTTCCTCTGGTAAAGAGAAACGGTATCCATAAATTTCTCTTTATGTTAAAAAATGCTTATAATTTAAGTTGCCAAAGAAAGTAAGTGAAGAGATATTTGTTTCTACATGTTATATTTCTACATGTTCTATGTTACACAGTTGTTTCTACATTTGTTTCTACAACTTAACTTACCGGAGTTGACTGCCAAATATGGTTATGTGAAAACTCTCAACCGTATTTTTAAAATTCATATTATTATTTTTGCCTTCATTTTTTAGTGGTCAGATCCTTTTTTAAAAATCCCAATGAACCAGGTACATGAAACATAGTTATGGCATTGCAAGTATTGCAAAAGAAAACCCACAGGCTAAAAAGGGTAGTTCAACAAAGTTTGTTTCATTTGATTTAATGAGCATAACTTCACTATCTTCCATTAGTTCACTTAATGTATCAAAACATACTCATTTAAGATCTTCACAATATAGTAATATAGTTCAATATAAGGCATACACTTCTAATGAGTCTCTTGGGGGCTTATGCCAGGTTTCACTTTTTGTTTCTACCATGTCATGGTCATAGTTTCAAACTTCTGAATAGACCACCCTGAGTTTGGATTGTCCTTATCATTATTATTTATTTATACAGCCCCATGCAGATCATTTGTACTAAGTTTTCAAAGAAAGATTCTAAAATCTGTTTCTAGAAATAACCCACTGAAGATTGAGACAACACAGATAGATGTAGATTGGACAGTTGCTGTGGGATCTATTATAAATGACAAATCAAGCAAAGAATATGAATGATGGATTGAAATATAACAGGCATTAAATCAAAAAGACAAAAGTATTAAATTTCCCTAATCTTATTTGTTGAATTTGTAAAAATGGCCAACAGAAAGCCTGTGTGTTTGCCTCAGTGTTAGTTTGGGTAATGGAATAGGTTTTTCTTAATTTATAATACTGTAGTATTTATATCACACTTCAAAAGAAGGTGAGTAGTATTAATTCAAACTAAAATCTATAAGCATAAGTGTTATTAATGGGTAGAACAGGGAGTGGGGCACACAAAGAATGCATATATCATGGTTTCAAAGTGTCTGAGAATTTCATTCTCTTGCTTGCACAAAGATACAGAAGAGCAGTATTAGGCAAAATAACTAAATTTTAAGCAGAGAATAATTTATAACCTCTAACTCCAGCATCAACTATTTTTTAAAGTTCTTAAACTTTGTCATTATCCAGTTTCTATTGATTTGAAACTGGTGTCCTTCAACTTAAACTCATGAATAGGGTTACAAATCTCTGCACACAAATTAGTAGCTTAACAAAATACTTGTTTTCAAATGTCTTGGAGAGTAAACTGATTTTACAAAATCTTCAGGATTTAAGAGCATAGGAGCCGAAAGTCAATTATTACATTTTCCAAAAGCCACTGTTATCTAAT
This sequence comes from Homo sapiens, assembly GCF_000001405.40. Classification (NCBI taxonomy): domain Eukaryota; kingdom Metazoa; phylum Chordata; class Mammalia; order Primates; family Hominidae; genus Homo; species Homo sapiens. Next base: position 85,047,557 of record NC_000007.14, on the reverse strand, counting down.
ATATAGGTTAAAATGACAATGTTTATAAAGTACTGAGGGATCCTTGAAGAGGATGGTATATACAGATAAAATCACGTTTAACAGAGGAACCCAGCATAGTGACCCAAAGTTCAAAAGGCACACTCAATAAAAGTTCATGTGTGACAGCTGCTAGCTACTTTACATGTCTATATAAGATTTATAAGGGTTTAAGTTTTGCTGGGACAGTAGAAGGAAAATATAATGCCATATTACCCTGCTTTAGGTCTGATCTACCTATCAGTAGATGCTATGATTAGAAGATCTTAGTAATTCGTAACATGCAACCATCATACAATCAAATGACTCAGATGTACTATATTTTAAAGCTGCTGAAGGATTGCAAATTGTGGTTTGTTTTGTCTTTAATTTTTTTTTCTTTTTTTAATTAATCATTTTAAATTAAGAAATACTGCAAACATATAACAAGTACAGGAAAACAGGCACCCTCTGTACTTACCACCCAAATTGAACACATGTGATCAGGCTTGTTTACATATACTTTCTTTGTTACTTTCATCTGCATCTTTGTGTAGAGGGTGTCAAGGCTTTTGGAACACTTAACTACAAAAAGTGAATGATAAATAGTGTAGAGACCCACAGAAGTGCCTGGTGACTAAAAACTGCTGATTTTGACATCTTAATGATAAATCTATTGTGTTCGTGAGATGGTTATATTCTTTAGAACTTCACAAAAATAAGCAAGGAGGTGACAATTTAGTACAAAAGTGGTTACCTCCCTTTCAGCCCTCTTCTGGGCTTAAAGTTCTTAGAGGAGATTGTGTGGATATGCAAACAAATCCAGGGACTGAGAAACTGGTCAACAAAGTCAGCCCAACTGACATTTCCCTACAGGAGAAATACAACTCCTTGTGAATTGAACTTTGCCATCTCAGGTCATGCTTCTGGATGTCTGTAAGAGTTACTATCCAGTCATTAAATGCTTATAATCCATTCCTGAGTGCTATTATCCCAGGAACTGTATTTGCTTCCCTTCTGACAGCAGGTGGCTTTCATCTTTGGCTTGGATTTTTTTGTTTTGTTTTGTCTTGGTTTTTTATCTTTTTATTCCTGAGGGGCTAGAGAAGGCTGTTGGATGGGTAGGTAAGATTATTTTGTTCAAAAAATTTCTATTTTTTGGTCAGGTTAAAAGAAATGCAGTACAGTATAAATCCCTTTTCTGTCCTACAAATCTAGATGGGATTATTCTGCTAGTTAGAATGTTCTCATGGTTACCTTAAATATCAGTGATAATTGTAAATAGAAAGGGAGGAAATGTTTGAAAATGAACATTTATTATCACTTTTACATAGTAAAATGTTTAAAAGAGGATACGATTGCTCATTTTTATGAATACTGTATATGCCTATTAAAGGAATGTCGTTAAGCAGATATTCTGATTATATATGTATTCACATAACAAAATAATTTCAGCATATATTCTGTGATGGGTAAGACAAACTTTAGTCTCTGGCATTATATTCATGATCACTGATATGTTTGTTTATATTTATTGAATCAACATTATTTTTAGTATTCACTGCTGATCCTCTCAAAATATACAAATTTAGGCAAAGAAAATTTAATAAATACTATCAATATATAAGAATTCATTAAAATAAAAATGTTTTTACTAGTGCTCTTCTTATCACAACTAGAAAGCTGATAAAAAAATGTAAAGATTAGATACGTTACTTTAAACAGATCTAAATCAAGAGCCATGAGAAAGATGGGGAAATATCTTACATTTTTAAATTCATTTAAAATTATCTTAGTTTCTGATAATTCCAGATATACATCTTCTCACTGGAATCCTACTATACATGAACACAGAACTCATTGTTACATTAGGAGAAAGCGTCAATATTTTTGCTTATTCTTATTAACGTACAGATATATATTCATAAATGTTCTGAGGATATTGGCATTAAAAACAGGTCATATCTAGATAAATCTGTCTGCATCTGCAGACATCTGAAATCATCCAATAACTGGCTGAAATATACTTTATTTCTTAACAATGATACTCATAATAAAGGCATCGTATATAAAATATAAATGTAAGAGCAATTACCGACAGGCTTTTTATGACAGAGCCACTATATAGAATATATTATACATTTTCTTAAAAGGAAACTGATTATTTAACTTCTTTGCCAATTACTAAATTTTTTAGTAGTTCTTCATGTGCACTTAATAACATACAGACACTTTGGCCTGGCATTAAAGCTTTCCTTGATCTTACCCCAATTTACTTTCATAACTTTTTCCTTCACTATTTTAATTGATCTCAGTCTTCAACTAAACACAGTTTATCCTGATTCTCCTAGATGTCCTGGATTGTTCCACCCATTGTCCTTTTCCCTAGTTTCCAGCACAGACAGTATTACCTGAACCAATCTCTACATATGTAGTTTGGTCCCATCTATTATTGTAAAAAGTTAACATTAAACCCAACTCTTCAGTGAAGTTTTTGCCTTTTTCCCACTATAATGAAATCCTTGGCCCTTAGTCTATACCATTCTGAAAATTTTTTTCAATTTTATGTTTTATTCTTAGTTATTTATTAACTATTAATCATGTCTTCATTCAACAGCAATAGGGATTTAGTGACATATTGGGAGTTGAGTAGAGGGAATTTTAGGGAGTGCATTGTCTACAAGAATTAAAAATTATTCAAAAACCAACTAAAAATTATTGTGCTTTTTATTATTGCCACATGCCAGTAATTGTAAACAGTGTCAGTGACAATATGCTAATCATAAAAGAGTCTTGTTGGTCTAGATTTTAAACTGTGGTTTACTACTGTGTATCTATTATGTATATGTATATATGGATATTTGTGTGGATAGTAAGCCTCCAGCACACATGAACTCAGCTACACACATGTTCCAAGAGTAAGTTCATAATGATTTGGAATCATTTAAAATTTAAAACAGTGAGACATAGTGCAAACTAGGAGGTGTGATAGTTTGTTCCTTAAGTGCCAATTTTTAGTTCTTACATGAAATATTCTATTGAATGTTGTTGCTTTTAGATTTCAAAGTTATTATTTTAAAATTGTGTGTTATAAACCTAAAGAACAAATAAAGAAAATAATAATTATTCCTGAGTTTTACAGAACTGTTACTGAAAATGTATCTTTTGTTTAGTGAGAAAGGAATGTAAAAAATAATTCACTCTGGGTATCACATACCATAGATGCCCTTGGTGTTAGGTGCTAAGGCTATAAAGATACCTCTGGTCTCTGGTTTCCTTTCTTTCTCCCCTTCCCCCTTTCTTCAAGCATAGTATTTATAAGATTTCAAATTCTCTTGTTTGTTGTAGTCATTTAAATGCCTTTCTCTAGTTTAATTTCAGAGATAAAAGAAGAAAGTTTCTAGATATTCAGACTTGAAACTTAACAGTTAACTTCTCATTAACTTTACAGAACATAGATTGAAGGATAAATGATTTTATATAATTTATACTTAAATATAAATAAATTATTGGAAAAGATGGCTTCAATAGTAATTTAAATAAATTAGTCTTATTATAAGCACAGCAGAGCTAGTTGGGTTAAATGAATGAAAAATCATGCTTATTCAGTGTTCACAGGTGTATTAGTCTGTTTTCACGCTTCTGATAAAGACATACTAGAAACTGGGGAATTTATTAAAAAAAATAGGTTTAATTGGACTCACAGTTTCACATGCCTGTGGAGGCCTCACATTCATAGCGGAAGGCAAGGAGGAGCAAGTCACATCTTACCTGGATGGCAGCAGGCAAGGAGAGCTTATGCAGGGCAACTCCTGTTTTTAAAACCATCAGATCTCGTGAGACCCATTCACTATCACGAGAACAGCATGGGAAAGACCCGCCTCCATAATTCAATCATCTCCCACAGAGTCCCTCCCACAACATGTGGGAATTATGGGAGCTACAAGATGAGATTTGGGTCGGGACACAGAGCCAAACCATATCAACAGGTATATATTAATTTAAAAATGAGGACATAAATTTTTATGCTGAATTATTGAATAGTGTAATTCTGTTTATCGTGTAATTGATTTAAGTGTTTATGTTTTACTAAATGCTTAAAGAACATTTTTAATGAACCATTTCAGAGTAAAAATAAAGTATGGAAAATATAGATAAATATTCTTTAAAAGATTTGTTTTTGTTTTTGTTTTGTTTGCTTTTGAGACAGGGTTTTGCTCTGCCACCCAGGCTGGAATCAGTGGCACAAACATGGCTCACTGCAGCCTCAACCCCCTGGGCTTAAGTGATCTTCCTCCTTCAGCCTCCTGAATAGCGGGGATTACAGGGACACCCCACCACACATGACTGAATTTTTAAAATTTTTGTAGAGATGAGATCCCACTATGTTGACCATACTGGTCTCGAACTACTGGGTTCAGCTGATCCTCCTGCCTCAGCCTCCCAAAGTGCTGTGATTATAGGCAAAAGGATGGTTTTTATATGTGTATTATTACGCATATGTTTATGTTGCATGGATGTTTAATTAGTAAGACATTAAATTTGGAAAAGACTTTTAAGCCTATAAAGAGACATATTGCTAAAGGTTGCAAATATTGTTTTTAATCCTATAAATAATATACAAGCCAGTACCAGCATTCATTGAACTCAAGTTGCCTGAGACTATGCTAAGCATTTTATAGACTTTTTTTCCCCATTTACTCATCAAACCAACCATATTTCAGCTGGGTTCAGTGGTATGCACCTGTAGTATCAGCTACTTAGGAGGCTAATGTGGAAGGATTACTTGAGCCCAGGAGTTTGAGGCAATGATCTTGCCTGTGAATAATTACTGCGCTCCAGCTTGGACAACATAGAAAGACTTCATCTCTGAAAAACAACAACAAAAATTAACTAACCGTATTTCAAGAGATTTATCATTTTTATCAGTGAGAAAACAGAGACTTAAAAAAAATAGTCTCTTGCAGGTCATGAAGCAAAAAATTGGCAGGTGGGATTTGATTTCAAGCTGCCTTTACCATTGCCTTGTATGCATCTACTCATCCAATAGAGCTGAACTGCTTGTATTTAATTCATTTAACTATGAGAAAAACATTTAATATTGAGGGCTAATACTGTCTTTTTCCTTATTTTAAAGTTCAAGGACTCAATATCTGGGTTCAGTGTCTTTGTAAACAATGACATCAATAAGACACTACCTGTAATAGCCACCAGTTTTAGTGAGTGGTAGAATTGTGTTGATAAATATTTATCTTTATTTTTTTTTTCATGTCAGAATGATGTAGGAGGACAACGCAGCCTGATAAACAAGTGGACGACTTTTCTTAAGGCCAGACTGATTTGCTCAATTCCTGGAAGTGATGGGGCAGATACTTACTTTGATGAGCTTCGTAAGTTCCTTCTTTCCTTCTTTCTTGGAAAGGCCTTACTGCCTAATTAAGTAACTTGGCATTTATTTCCCTTTGGCTCCAAATGCCTGATTAATTTTACCTGAGCAAACCTTACAGGAGTGGTTCTTACTAAAATTCACACGCAAAGTACACGGAAGTGCTCTAGGTCTGGGCACACGTCATAATGCAGTAACTCTTCTCTTTGTAAGAGTCCTCAAAGTAAGTGAAGGAAACAAAACTACAGCAAGACACAGAAAGGTGTGAGCTCTGGAACTACACAGTTCATCCATTCTCCATGCAGTCTTTCATTTTGAAAGGAGCCACCTTCTATAGGTAGGAAAATCTTGGATTCCTTATTCCACGGGTGCCCTCTGCTGGCAAGTACAGGAGATTTGGTGAACACTGTCCCTCCGACTTGTTAATGAAAGAATAATCAGAAGCAGTAGACAGCTTCTTCTATTTCACTTCTCCTCTTCACTCCCTCAAAAACTCCTTCCAAGTCCTACAATGATTTTTTTCTTTTTTGTTTATGTATAATGTTAGCATCATTAGCTTTTAGCTTCTTGAACTTGTTCTTATTTTTGCCATGTAATGTAAAAATGATAATCTATATCATGGAATTATTTCATCAGTATTGTGTATTTTCCAACTTAAAGTATACATTGAGTAATCGTGGATGACCTCTCCTATTGTATGTAAGCACATTCACATCTTAATCTTTTAAAGAATATTATTTGCACATAACTTACTGTCAATACGGCACTAATTTGGGGGTAGCTATTTTCTTATTGTTACCAAATAGGTAAATGAGGTCAGGTGTGGTGGCTCACACCTGAAATCCCAGCACTTTGGGAGGCCGAGGTGTTTGGACCACTTGAGGTCAGGAGTTTAAGACCAGCCTGGCCAACATGGCGAAACCCTATCTCTACTAAAAATAAAAAAAAAAATTAGCCGGGCTGGTGGTGGGCACCTGTAATCCTAGATACTAGGGAGGCTGAGGCAGGAGAATTGCTTGAACCCAGGAGGGAGAGGTTGCAGTGGGCAGAGATTGTGCCACTGCATTCCAGCCTGGGTGACACAGCAAGACTCCATCAAAAAAAAAAAAAAAGGCAAATTAATTACTAAGTTGACACAATTATAGGACAGAATTTTTTTACACTAGAGGGTAAAAATTACTTATTTTTTGGTTTATATTTTCTATGAAATCAGATTTCCAATTGGAAACTACCTTGGAGATTATCAATTGTACCATACCATACATAGTCATTGAGAAAAAACAATCTTATATTTGATTTCTCAAGGCATAATATAGTGCCTCTGTTAATCGTATAAACTGTTTAGATTTTCAGAGTTTCAGTTGTGTTATTAACAAAAAAGCAATGTAATACTGAAAAATAAGAGTAAATATTTATTTTTCCCCTTTAATAGAAGATATTTATTTACTCCCCACAAGAGATGAAAGAAATCCTGTAGTATATGGAGTCTTTACTACAACCAGGTATGTTCAACAAAATGCTTTTAATGCTTCAGAGAATTGTATATGTATGCAAGCCAATATAGTTATAGGATCTTTTTGTCCCTGCGTTTGTAGTAGCATATCGTAAACTTTTTTTTTCATTTTACCTTTTCACTTAGTGTTCCTTAAAAATCATTTAATATCAGTGTAAAAAATTCTTTTTTTTCTTTTTAAGCCAGTATAGCATTAGCTATAATGATTACCACAAGTTATTTAACCACTCCTCTGAACATGGACATTTCTGTTATTTCCAAATGCCTACTGTTGCATATAATGCTTCAGTGACTAAACTTGTGCATATACCTTCCCCATAGGAACAAACGTATCTGTGAGATAAAGTCCCAAAATAAATTTTCTGTGTATAAAAGGCATATGCAGGCTGGGCTCACCAGCTCACTCCTATAATCCCAGCACTTTGGGAGTCCAAGGGGAGGATGGCTTGAGCCCAGGAGTTCAAGACCAGCCTGGACAACATAGTGAGACCCAGTCTCTACAAAAAGTAAATAAAAAAATAGCTGGGCATGGAGGCACATGCCTGTAGTCCCAGCTACTCAGAAGGCTGAGGTCAGAGGATTGTTTAAGCCTGGAAGGTAGAGGCTGCAGTGAGCCATGATGGTACCACTGCACTCCAGCCTGGGTGACACAGCGAGACCCTGTCACCAAAAAAAAAAAAAAAAAAAAAAAAGTGTTTGCGTATATATTAATCATAGTAAGTATTTACATGATATGTGTTGTCATAGTGATAGTACTAAGGAAATACGTGGATAAATGGTTAAGTTCATTGGTAAGGCTATAATCATGAGATGGGACACTCTTAACCTTTAAAACATCATCACATGCTGTCCTATTATCATTTCCCAGTTACCCTACAAAGACAGGTGTGGCTGTTATGACTATTTCACTGCTTTACTAATTTAGGCAAAGAATGTTTTCATCACTTGCTCAAAGAGGAGCGGACTATTAGTAGTAAAAATAAAACTGAAAGTGAAGACAATTTCATGTTTTCTACTCCTGTATTTCTGTCTTCTTTTTGCATAATGCTTTCCTGTACTTATCATTGAGACCTTCCGACTTCCTTAAAAGTTGTACTAGCATCGGTGGGCACGATGGCTCATGCCTGTAAATCCCAGTACTTTGGGAGACCAAGGCGGGTGGATCATCTGAGGTCAGGAATTTGAGACCAGCCTCCCCAGCATGGTGAAACTCCATCTCTACTAAAAATACAAAAAATTAGCCAGGTGTGGTTGCGGGCGCCTGTAATCCTAGCTACTCAGGAGGCCGAGGCAGGAGAATCACTTGAACTTGAAAGGCGGAGGTTGCAGGTTGTGCCATTGCACTCCAGCCCCGGCAACAAGAGCAAAACTCTGTCTCAAACAAAACAAAACAAGTTGTACTAGCATCTGTGAAACTTTCTCAAAGAATATGGGGGCCCCACAGACTTAATTTTATTTAATATTCAGTAACTTAAATTTGACTATGTTCAAAGCACACCCTTTCTCCTGTTCCCTGTTACAGCCTATATTGTTGGAAATAGTTTTCACATTTTCCACAGCTCTGCTCTCAAACTTTATCAATGTATATTGACATCAGTATAGGAGGAATTGAAGATACTGATATTGGTACTGAAGAAAAGGTCTTACTGCCTCCTAGTGAATAAATTTTTAATCTATTTTATATGAACAATATAGTTTAACTTTTTTCTGTGGCACAATCCTCATTTTGTTCACAATACCTTATTCATAAACTGAAATGCACTATTGGTTCAGAATAGATCAGAAAACAAAATACTGTTTGGTTAATTATAAGATACAGAATATGAATGTTCAAATATGAGAATAAAGAAGATATCCTAGGAAGCTGCTATTTTGGACTCCATTTTCCTGTTAATTTATATCCTAATATAAAAAGGTACAAGAAGTGCCTCTGGTCAAGTATCTCAATCCTAGTTCTCTTGGCACCTTTCCAATTGCAGAACTTTCTTTGAAGTCACTGTGCTCCACACACAAGGCACGGATATGTGCCAGGAAAATATAGCCCCAAGATAGTTCGTTTTTTTCTCCTATTAAGTTTCTGCCCACCCAGAGTGTGAAGTTACAAGTTAGCTCTTTGTTCTTCCTATACTTTATTGTTTTGTTTTTAATGCCATCCTAAAGACCAAGGTGACATTGGAATGTATGTCATATCCTTTGTCCAACAAGAAGACATAATAAACCTGCAATAATGGCAATGCCATTAAGCATGAGGCATCATACCTTTAAAATATCCTAGGCAGATTCTGTGATTTCTGTGGCAACGCCACCTCCATTCTCAGGAGCTAGTTTTCTTCCACCTACCTATTTACCATTACCTCTCAAAGGTTCCCATTAATATCATTCCAAGAATATTAATAATTGAGTTACTATGCTAGAGAATCATTAGCTTATTTGTTAATGCTAAGTTATTATTATTATTATTTTTATTATACTTTAAGTTTTAGGGTACATGTGCACAACGTGCAGGTTAGTTACATACGTATACATGTGCCATGTTGGTGTGCTGCACCCAGTAACTCGTCATTTAACATTAGACGTATCTCCAGATGCTGTCCCTCCCCCCTCCCCCCCACCCCACAACAGGCCCCGGTGTGTGATGTTCCCCTTCCTGTGTCTATGTGTTCTCATTGTTCAATTCCCACCTATTCGCAAGGACAAAAAACCAAATACCGCATGTTCTCACTCATAGGTGGGAAATGCTAAGATTTTTAATATATTTTTTAGATCATAAAGGTTGATCTCATTTTTGAAAATGGGAATGATTAAAAGTTTTCAACTCAAAGAAAATATCTTTTAATTTCTAGAAATAAAGCAAAAAAAGACATCTGAATAGTGTTAATTTTTAGTAGTTTGCAAAAATTTGAAAAAATTCCTTTGGAGTTTTTTGCCTCTTAATACTTTCTCTAATCCTGTGTAATTATAATTAAGTATCAGATGAGCTACTGTAATACATAAACTCATAAATTCAAGGAGGACCAAAAAGAAAAAGATTGTTTCAACATTTTAAAATCAGTTTAATAAAAATCATATAAATATATCATTTAGCAACTAATGTTTATGGATATTCATTCATTGTAAGAAAACAAACGAGAGGATTATTATTCAAATATTTAAATAATTCTTTTTAATAAGTAAATAATGTCACTTTTTATTTTGTAAGCCTTTGGAAGGCATTATGCCATAATAACTTTAAATAAAATGGAAGAACATGTAAATAAATATAACACTCTTTCATGCATATTCCTCTTTATCCTCCAGGGTTTGTTTTATATAATTTCTGTTTATCTATCAGGTGCCAATTTAGATGACACCTCCTCCCTGAAAACTTACCTGGCAGCCCTATACTGGGTACCCATGCATGTTCTACTTTGCTTACTATATTTACTGGCGATGAAGTTATTATTACACTTTATTTAGAATTGCTTGGCTGTAAGCCACTTGAGGACGTAGGCACATTGTGTCTACAGTACCCATCAAATTTAATGTGCTAAGTAAATTTTGTCCACAGCACCTGCTGATAGTATGTGCTCAGTCAATGTTTATTGAATTCATCAGTGAATGATTGAATGATGATGCTTTTTTTTTCCAGCTCCATCTTCAAAGGCTCTGCTGTTTGTGTGTATAGCATGGCTGACATCAGAGCAGTTTTTAATGGTCCATATGCTCATAAGGAAAGTGCAGACCATCGTTGGGTGCAGTATGATGGGAGAATTCCTTATCCACGGCCTGGTACAGTATGTATCCAACTTAATAATCAAATTATTTTCTTAAGCTCATATTTAATTCTTAATTTAATTGTAATAAATTCTGCTATTCACCAGAGCCACATGTGCTGTAATAACATTTATTTGCAGTGAAGTATTAGCATTTTCATCCTTCATTGAAATTTAACATTTCAGTAAGAATTTTAGTTACTTTGAGAAACAATGGACTATGTCATAAGTATCTAACCACGGGGACAATGTGGAGCTTATCCCCAACATGTTTATGTTTATAGAATCATTGGAAAGATTTAGTTATCTAGAATGACAGCTATTCTAAATTAGATGGAAATGTCAAAGAAGTATTATTTCTCACATACAGCTCTGCAGATAGCTCGAGTCTTCTAATCCCCACTTCTACTTTGAAAAGAACACATCATAATGGTTCACTTAATTTATCTCTTTTTTGGTATGCATTTATCTTTTCTTCACTTAATTGTACCTTAGAATAACATGCACTTTTTAAATGGGAAAGGAATTTTAGAAAACCCTCAGTCAAAAATTTTTTTCAAATAGTATGAATCATGTTTAAAGCACAAATGATGTAAGTAAGAATGTATTTTAGAGTTTATACAATTGTTTAAAACAAAAAACAACTGCAGTTCAAAATGCTGTTACATGCATTTTAAGTGAAGGGATTTTTAAAACATTTGTTGATATTATTATGACAGTTTAAGTTATTTTAACATCAGGATTATTTATTGACCTAATATTAAAGAGGAAAAAAATTTTTTTTTCATTTTGGATTTATTCTGAATATTACTACCAAGAGGTTTAAAATAATTACCAAAATATCTGAGGAAAATATTGACTTAACTCTTCAAGTTTTACTGAATATTATCTTTTCATATGTTCATTCTTAAAGGAGAACCAGCTGGTAGCTATGCTTTCCGAATTCTGTTTCCATCTTCCTGCTATATAACTTAATTAAATTTGGGAAGTATGCTATACAACCATCTCTATTTTCCCCTTAATAATTCCCCAATATAAATTTGTTTCAAGGATGGTTTCTAACTTGATTATAAAGTAATAACGATGTTTGTGGAAACATGTTTTTTTTCAAACAATATGATTTTCAGGACTCATTTTTTTAATTTTCTCTCTTTTTAATAATGTGATAAGAACATTTAACATGAGACCTATCCCCTTAAATTTTTTAATTTACCATCCATTATTGTTGAGTATAGGTACAATGTTGTACAGCAGATCTCTAATGCTTATTCTTCTTAGCTAACAGAAACTTTGTGTGCATTGATTGGTAACTTCCCATTTTGCTCCCTCCTAGCCCTTGGAAACCACCATTCTGCTTTTTGATTCTATTATTTTGACTATTATAGATACCTTATATAAGTGGAATCATGCAGTGTTTATTTCTCTGCAAATGGCTTATTTCACTCAACATAACGTCCTTAAGATTCATTCATGTTGTTGCATAGTGTATGCAGAATTTCCTTGTTTTTCAAGGATGAATGCAGTCCCATTTTATATATATACACATACACACATCCCATATATATGATATCTATATGCACATATAAAGATATTATATATGCATCACCTGTATATAGATATATACATATATGATGCATATATCATATATAAATATATGTATGATGTATGTATAAATGTATCATATATCATATATACATTTATATATGATACAAGTCTCATATATATGTATATAGGATATATGATATATAATCCTAGATATATTGTATACATATAACACACACACATACACACACACACACATTTTCTTTATCCATTCATCTGTTGACAGACATTTAGGTTGTTTCCATGTCTTGACTATTGTGAATAGTGCTGCAATGAATCTAAGAGTGATAATATCTCATATATCTTTGATATCTTAATTTCAATTGTTTTAGATAAATATCCTGAAGTAGGATTGCTGCATCATGTAGTAGTTCTATTTTTAATTTTTTGAGGAACTGCCACACTGTTTTCCATAGTGGCAGTACCATTTTGCATTACCACTAGCAGTGTGCAAGGCTTCCAATTTCCCCACATCCTCCTTAATACTCATCTTTTGTTTTTATGATGTTATCCATATTATCCATCCTGACAGATGTGGAGTGATACCTGATTGTGGTTTTGTTTTCAACTTCTCTGTTGATTAGTGATGAATAATTTTCATGTACCCATTGGCCATTCGTATGTCTTCTTTGGAGAAATGTCTATTGAAGTACTTAGCCCATTTTTTAATTTTGTTTTGTTTTGTTTTGTTTTTTGTTTTTTTGTCAGAGTCTCGCTCTGTTGCCCAGGCCAAAGTGCAGTGGTGCAATCTTGGCTCACTGCAACCTCTGCCTCCCGAGTTCAAGCACTTCTCCTGCCTTAGCCTCCAGAGTAGCTAGGATTACAGGTGTGCACAACCATGCCCAGCTAATTTTTGTATTTTTAATAGAGACGGGGTTTCACCAGGTTAACCAGGCTGGTCTCGAACTCCTGACCTCAGATGATCCGCCCACCTCATCCTCCCAAAGTCCTGGGATTACAGGTGTGAGCCACCATGCCCGGCCTAGGTCATTCTAATGCTTTTTTAACTATTTTTTATTCATTGAATATCACAGCTGTACTTACTCATTTCATTTACTTATATTTTAATAGTAATATAGCACTTAGGATATGGGGATATTATTCTAAAGGTTTTACAAACATTAACTTACTTAATACTGATCATAATCCCATGAAACACATGCTATTATTATTAATTCCATTATACAGATGAGGAATGTCAGGCACCGACAGGTACAGTAACTTGCCCAAGGTCACAAAGCTAATTAGTGATAGGGCTGGGTTTCAACCCCAAACTCCAAATTCTTGGCTATTTACTATCATACTGTAAATTCAAGGTCATTGTTCTTACAATAACTCCCAGTTATTAGTTCTTACACTATGATGTTGCACTACAAAAATGTTAAATTATATATTTTTACCTTCCCTGGGAGATTGTGTGTGTGTGTGTGTGTGTGTGTGTGTGTGTGTATGTGTGTGATTAAAATTGGGAAAACAGCTCTAGAAGGATCAATTTTACTCTGTTAATACTTTGGGGTTAAATATTATAGACTGTCACATTCTGAGCCTTTTCTTACTACATGAGTTTTTTGGTTTGGGGTTTTTTGTTTGTTTTTATTTGTTTTTAATAAAGACTGTCACCATTCAGGCCATATTATTTTTCAATTATCTAGATATTATAGGAGAATGAATTGGAAGCTGAGACTATTCACATTAATTACAACAACAACAAATTATTTGCATATGTAGACCCAGCAGTTGAGTCCTATAATACTCAGAAATAGAAAATAAGTATCGAAATGACTACATGCTGATGCATCCTGGTTACATTATTTTCCAACTCGAGTGTAAGTTAAGATGCTTTACAAGTGGTGGTTGTCACCGCCTTCCCTGCTGCTGCCTAAAAGAGCTGTGAATGTCATGCGAGGCTTAAAGAGAACTCACGTTTTACATGACTGTCCTCATAAGCACACAGACACTTCTCTGAAACGTGAGTAAGAGACTCCCCGAAAGTAGGAAAATAAAAATGTCAGTGGGAAGTGTTTTTCATCAATGAGAAAATAAACACCAAATTATGTTCAACATACTGGTCTCTTCTGCCGACTACTCAGAATATAGTCTTTATGCTGTAAGAAATTGTCTTGAAAAGTTCAAAATTATTTAGCAAATAGCCTGCATCTAAACCATCAAATAAATACTTAATTTTTACTTTCTAACAACTTGGGAAAACAAAAGCATGATTAGGACTAAAGAAGGGTCATTTAAGGAAGTTATTACTCAATTTTTTCTCAACATTAATATTTATCATACAATTTTTATGCCTTTAAAAATATGTAAACACATTTGCACCTGAAGTTGAGCTCTGAGAACCATGCCTAATAAAGAATCTTTCCACCGTAGCCCCTATTAAGGCTGTAATCAGTAATAGAGACAGAAAGACCAAGTCTCCTTCTGAAAGACTCCACCAAGAAAACTCTCTTTCATCAAATATTATGTCCTTTTATAGAACTTAAAGAGATTTTAAACATGCCAGTTACTGTCAAAATTTATTTATTTTTACAGTTGTGGTTAAAGAAGGAGGATTTTCTTTTTGGTTGTACTGAGTTAAACTGTTATATCTATGCTCTCTTTAGATAAGCAGAAACCACATAATATAAATTTATTAGTATGAGACTAATAATGTTGAGGTATTTTTAAATATTTTTATTGATCAACCCTATCCAATTGATTTTGTGTTAGTATAGTGACAATCATTTCTACTAACATGTTTGCAGGCTTTATCTAGAAATCCGTGGTAGCTAAGGACATCAGCTATTTCCAAATAACTAGCTACTTATGTATTCTCTTTGAAATCACTGTGACCAAATTTGAAAATGTCTGAAATCATGCATAGATAGGTAGCCTTTTACTTCATTGCTTCTTCAGTCATTTTTACAACATCTTGTTTCTTATTAGCACTCAATGCTATTAGTGTGCTTTTCTACATTATGTTTTATATTTAGAATACTGATGTTGAATTTAGGAGCATCATATATGTGATGTGAAAATCTGTTATACAAATACACTTTACCATTAATAACACTACACATTAAATCATTGAAATTATATTTCACAGCGTATCAGATAAACTATGCCTGTAAAATTTGAGAATGTAAGAACTGGAGTGAATGATAAAGACCACGTAATTCACCCTCATTTTACAGGGAAGGGAATGAATACCCAGAATAATTAAATAACTTTCCCAATATCATATTGCCAAAAACAGTGGAATGAAGAGGGATGTTGAATTTTCTGATCAGTCTTCTCTCTCTATTCGTTAATATTCTGTAATATGCACTTATTTCCTAATATTTATCTGATTGATATACTGCCGAATGTCCCACCTAAAATTAGCTGCATTGAATTTTACATTATTTCCTGGCATTCTTTCTTATTTGTTTTCTAAAAGCAGCCCAATTTCAGTAATTTTTGTTTATATAAAGTTATGATTCTATCTCTCTAAATATCCAGAATATTTTGATCAAACTCATTACTGAACACTTCTTATGATCCAGACACTCTGATAAGCCCGTATACGTTATCTCACTACATTCTTAAAATAAACACACAGAGTAGGTATTATTATCCCAATTTTATAGATAAGAAACAAGCCCAGCGAAGGTAAACATATGTTCATGCTCTCACAGTTTATGAATTGTTATGACTGGAATGAAACTTACTCTACTTAACTCCAAATCAAAAGCCATTAACCTACCTTTTGTTCTACCTTCAAAGGGATAACAAATGAGCAACCAAACAGAACTTTATGCTATTTTTCCAGAGATTTGTCTATTCTCTGCACAAGTAATAATGAATTTTGAAACTTTACTACACTTACCATTTCTCTTACTGCAATTCAGAGGAACACATCTTACTTTAATAAAAGTATTGCTGAATACTTTGCTTTCTATGAAATTGTTAGAACCTTTACTAAAAGCCATATTACACTTAAGTTAAAGCTTTAACGTAGGTTATTTTTTAAAAAATTGTTTTTACATTTTCTGCATCTGTATTGCTATTAAGATTGAATTCTAAGTTGTTCTCCCAGTGGTGAGACTTCTGTTGACATTATCACTCAGTTAAATAAACACTACAACTTTCAGTGTGTCAAGCTTACTTTAAGTTTTTGGTTTTGACAGAATGCTGTACTTCTTTGACAAAAAGTCAAACCTAAACTCCTAGCTTAACCATGACATCACTGCTCTGCAATGTTAATAAGCCTAGAAAAGCAAGAATGCAAAAGGATATATTATAGAATTCCTTCACTTCAAATGATTCTTCTGCCCTCTGGTGTCCAAATAGAATATTTGAACAAGCCATATTTTGTTCAGGTGGATTTTTTCAATCATTATTGCCCTGCCAGGTTTTGGTAATAAGAAGTTCCAAGTGAAATAAAATATTAAAAAGTCCATAATACAGTGAATCAATCATACAGGTCAGATATAGAAACCAAATTGAATCCAGCCCAAAATAACAGACTGCTAGAAAACCCAGAATCTAAGAAAGATTTGTAAAGGCAGAAAATTTCCAACTTGATAGTTGGTTTTTTATAACTGATGTACTCTGCAGTTTTATTCTGTGTAGCCAAGGGATTTTTAAGATTTATGCATAAGTGTAAAGTATTAGTAAATATTTCCTCAAAAGTGAGTTTCAGTTTTAAACCATTCCCTTATCAAAAAGGTGAGGAGAAAATACTTGTTTTTGAAGTTCAAATATAAAATGCATGTTTTACTTTGCTTGAATCATTTTGCCACCATTTTTAAATAACTACTAAATGTCTGATTTTGTAAAAATAATGATTCCTTTTTAAATTCCATTTGCTCCCAAATTGTTACCGCGTTAAATGTTAGTTGTTTTAGTTTTACTTTTACAGATGAAAGCTTACACGTGGATTTCCCAACTAAGTCTCCATTTTTTGGTGGGAAATAAAAGGAGGTAGTTATAGGTACTTTTTAAATATTTCATAAATTCATTTTACTATGTGGACACTGATGAACATAAATGCATGATAATTTTTATTAATAGCTCAAACACCAGAAAAGCCTGTTCTTTTTACTTTTTTTTATCTAGGTAGTTTCAAAAAAAAAAAATAGGTGGTGAAAAATGGTGATTCTAAGGATTCCTGAAAATTTTTTGGTTCAAAAATTTGAAACAAAGCCATATTTAAGGAACATCATAACATGGTAAGAAGCATCCTGGGTAGAGTACCTAGAGACTGGACTTCTCACGCCAGCATTGCCTCTTCCACTGTCCAACACTAGAGACATTAAATAAATGCTCATTTTCAGCTCAAAATCTTTTTTTTTATTCAGGGGTGGAGGTTGTGGTTAGTTTTCTTTTGTTTAATCTTTTTTTGATACCAACTTTAAATACAGTTTTATTTAAGACATTGCATTTTCCACTTACAATACAATGTTTATAAAGTGCAATGTTATTTCCTTTCCTTGTGCTCATGTTCCATATTCAAGTATTGAGAATGCCCAGTAATTTAGTATAGCAGCTCGACCGTAAAACTGCCATAGAATTTGATACAAATTTGGGTTCTTCGGTGTTTTAACTATGTAGAAGAATGCTACATCTATAGTTGGGTTGTCTTAATCAACCTCTTCAGTGGTGGGCCCTGAAAAGCACCACCAGATGCAGGAGCTCTACCACCAGGAAATCCCCCTGGCATTCCTCCTAGCATGCCTTCTGCACTCTAGTCCAGTTTGGTTATCATGGACTTGAAGACTTCTCCAGCTCTTGCTGTGCATGTTCAAATTCTTCCTTCTCTGCAGTCTGATTCTTGTCGAGCCAGTTGATAATTTCATGGCACTTGCTAAGAATCTTCTGTTTGTGCTCATTGTTAATCTTGACTTGAAGTTTCTCATCTTCAGCAGTTGCTTTCATGTTGAACACATAGGGATCAAGTGAATTCTTGGATGACACCTTGTCCCTCTGCTTCTCATCTTCAGCTTTGTACTTCTCAGTTTCCTGGACCATAGGCTCAATGTCTTCCTTGCTCAAATGGCCCTTGTCATCAGTGAGAGTAGACATTGAGGATGCCCTTGGCATTAATATCAAAGGTGACTTCAATCTGATGAGCACCATGGTGTGCAGGAGGTACGCCTGTGAGCTCAAACTTGCGAAGTAGGTTTTTATCCTTGGCAATGACATGCTAGGCTTGTCAGAGTAGGTAGTGAAGGTCTGTGTCTGCCTGGTAGGAATGGTAGCATCACACTTGATGAGGACAGCCATGACTCCATCAGCAGTTTTAATATCAAGGGAAAGAGGAGTGACATCCAAAAACAGAAAATCTTGAACATTTTGAGATGTCTCTAGATAGGACGGCTGCCTGGACAGCTGCATCATAAGCAACAGCTTCATGAGGGTTGATGCTCTCATTCAGCTATTTTCCATTGAAGATGCCTTGGAGAAGCTACTAAATCTTGGGGATACAATTAGGACCACCAACCAGGACAATATCAGGAATCTGTGGTTTGTCTAGTTTGACATCTCAAATGGATTTCTCTATGGGGTCCAGAATGCCACAGAACAGGCTCAGCATTCAATTCTCCAAATTGGGCACAATTAATGGAGATATAGAAGTGGATTCCTTCATGAAGAGAATTGACCTCAGTACTGGTTTCAGTGCTGGAAGAGTATGTTTAGCAAGTTCACAAGCAGTATAGAGGTGCCAGACAGCTCTCTTGTTCTCACGGTGTCCTTCCATGTGTGCACTATAACTCACCAGTAAAATGGTTGACATTTCAGTTGTGAAAGTCCTCTCCACCTAAGTAGGTGTCTCTGGCTGTAGATTTCACCTCAGAGATTCCATCCTCCATAGTGAGGATCAAAAACACCACCTCCCAGGTCAAAGATTAGCACATTTCTTTCAGCTCCAACCTTTTTTTTTTTTTTTTTTTGTCTAAACTGTAAGCAATAGCAGCGACAATTGGCACATTGATAATTCCAAGTACATTGAGACCAGCAATAGTTCCAGCATCTTTGATAGCCCTGATGCTGAGAGTCATTCAAGTAAGCTGGCACTGTGACCACAGCATTGGTAACAGTCTTCCCAAGGTAGACTTTTGCAATTTCCTTCATCTTTGTCAGAACCATAGAAGACACCTCCTATGGGTAGCAGCTTTTTGTCTCTCTCATACTCTACTTGGACCTTGGGCCTGCCAGCATCATTTACCACCGTGAAAGGCCAATATGTCATATCAAACTGGACAATGGCATCATCAAATCTGCATCCAGTCAGACATTTGGCATCAAAAGCCATGCTGGCACGGTTCATTGGAACTTGATTATTTGGAGTATCACTAATCAATTGTTTGGTATCCGTAAAGGTGACATAGTTTGGCATGGTTCGGTTTCCCTGATCATTGGCAATTATCTCTACTTTTCCTTGCTGGAAAACACCCATATAATAGTAGGTGGTGCCAAGATCAATACCAATTGCAGGTCACTTAGACACAGATGTTTGTGTGCATGGTCAGCTCAGATTTCAAAGTGAGACACAGAACCCCAAAAGCTGCTGCTGTGTTCAATGAGACCCTTGTTTAATATTCCTTTTATGTTGGGAAAACAAACATTAAGCCGCATAAAACATCAAAAACACTAAGCTAACCTCCTTCTTCCTGTCTTCCATGGTTTTACTTCTGAATATAATATGTCCTTTTAGTGAGAAAATAAAGTAAAATAAAATATCCTATAAATCTTGGTTAACAAAACTTGACTAAGAATATTCTGTAAAACTTTATTAAGAAAAAAATATTTTCAACTACCACCAATGTAAAATAATGAAATATCTCTCCCTCTGCAAGATTTCAAATCTTTGTCTAACAAAAAGCCCCATATGTACAACTCACATTGGTTTTCACTGGAGAAAATCAATGGCAAATGCTAAAAATTTCCTCTCTTTGCTGTAGGGCCTTTATTGTTCCCCCTTTTTGCTATAAGATAAAACCTCCAAACTTGAGATATACGTGTAGATGTGTCTGACAGTCATTTATTTCCCACTAAATCATTAGACTTTCTAACATTGTAAGAGTCATTGAAAAATTATAAAGTTCTTTTGATTCTGGGTCCACTGAAAAATTCGTCTTACAAATGCACTACCCTGAACCAGCTCTGGGCCCTGGCATACCGTTCGGTTGTAGAAAGATCTTTTTTACTCTAACATATCAAGGCATCACTGCCATGCCTGAGCTTGGTTTCTGATTTTGCTTTACAGAAGTAAATCTTGGAGAAGATAGATCATAGGATAATAATACATAATATCAACAATTGGGTTTCCATAGTGGACTTGAAGTATGTAATGTGTTCTTCAACTAGAACTGGAATATTGCTTAGAAATTCCAATTTTTACCTTGCTTAATCTTCTCAACAGCAGGGGTTTGAGGTAACCATGGATTCCACAAGTTCAAAACTTTTTAGCTACCCTGTTTTCTCTTTCTGCCCCACCTAAACTATTTTACTTGAGCTTTAGCATGATTCTAAATACACTCTTTTCCTAAGGAGCTGATGGTTCTCAGAATATATGTATTTCTTAACCTCATACATTAGATTTTAATTGTAAACTATGCTGATCCCATTAAGTAAGAGTTTTAAAAGACATGTTTTATAGTTGACTTTCAAACATAGGTGTAACTGACCAAAGAAAAAAATGTAATTCAAAAATAATATCCAGAACTTTCTATTAATTTGTCTAGTGTTAGACTATGATAGTCTTACCAAAGGAGACTGAAAACTACAGAGTATGATGCAGGAATTCTCTCATAATGTCTCACACTATCTTCCCATTTGTGTACCTGAGGAATGTAGCTAACATCTTATTGCTATTGTTTGTTTCATTTAAGCAAGTCTTTCCTAATTAATTCAAAATCTGTGGAAAACTTTTGGGGATATCTCATTATAGGCATCAGTGGCTCACTCATGTCTCTCTATCATATTGAATTCACAGTTTTATTTTCTCTTTAATATTTGCTCACTCCATCACCTTCCACTTATTGGATAACAATTACTTTATCATCTCTCTAAATTACTGAGGATATCTCTAGTTCTGTTCATTCATTCCTGGTGTTGGTTCTAGAAGGGAGAAGCAGAGGCAGGACTAGACTCTGGATATCCTGAGTCCAGATTCCTAAAACAGATTACACTAAAGGACACGTATCACAAAATATCACTATCATTTCCCTTTAACTGTGTGTAGGCCATGTTTCCCTAAAATGGAGATAGTCAAGGGGCTTCCAAAAGGAATTAACCTTCCCAACTGGCTTTCAGCTTTATTTTCCAGAGGGCAAACAATTTGCTTTTAAAATGAAGTTCTTCAAATCCCAGGCTATTTACTATGTTCAATAGTGTTTTGCTTTTTCTGGCATAGAAATTCCTTTAAGAGAAAGGGAACCTTAAAGAAAAGGAGAGGGAGAGGGAAGGAGAGAAATTACCTCTGTATGTTTGCCCCGGCCTCTTTGTCTCTGATATTTAATACAGGGTCTTTCCTTGCCTTTATCTGTTGTAGGTTGACTCTTCGATGAATAAGCAGGGGTATAAGACGGCAACTGTTACATTTGCATTTTTACTCTATAAATAAAACTCAGGCTTCTGAAAATGAAAGCCTAGTTCAGTCTTTCTTTTGCCATGTCTTCCCTCACATTAGTCATTCCTCTGACTTGTTTCAAAGGAAACTGCAACCTGTAGAGAATAGCCTGAAGCTGCGGGGAGAAAAAACCTTTGACAGCTGTCTGGGGCTTTGCCAAGGGGAAAAGTTCTCTCTTTGGATAAAAACCATTTTTCTCCTCTTATCCATTGCTTCCCATTCCACTACTAAAGGCCCTAGACAAACACGCAGACTTGCCAAGCATAACATGATCACACCTAGCCAGCTATGGCAGCCAGCCATGGGAGATAGGCCCTGAACCAGGGCTGGTTGCTGTTGGGTTTCCACTTTCATCTCAGGGTGTGTCTAGGCAGGTTCTATTTTCTCTTCTTCTTTTGTGCTGGTATTAATATTTCCAGCACAAGAGAAGAATACTGTCTTTGAGTATTTTACAACAGCGGGTAGAGACACAGATAAGTTTCCTGATTTATTTCCTACTCTCCTAGGAGCTAATCTGGCAAATTAAGAAAACTGGAGGCAGAAATAAATGTCCCCGTATGGTATGTTCAGGTGGGCTGTGTTAATACCTAGAAATTAAAAGTACATACATACGGAGAAAAACCCACTAGATTTCTAATACCTGAGATGTATAGCTGCCATAGGAGAATTTTCTAGAATTTGTTAAAGGAAAATAACTGAATATGAATGACCATCCGCTTTAGATGTATCATTTCCCTACACTTTCTCTTTTCTTTTACGAAATTTTTCTTTCCTACTTTACTCTTACCTACATACATTGCTTGGCATCTCATTATTTTTAGATCTGTGTGCAGCACAGCTATATGATATCAACGCAAAAATTCCACTGGTTTGAATGTACTGAAATAACAATATTTGATTCAAACTGTACTATCCTAAACCTCAGAGAGTAACTCTACCAAATCATTTTCATTTGTGCAAGCATAGTGGAGACGCAGACCTGAGATATCATGCATAGCAATTGAGAGGATAAAGATCTTGTCCAAACACTGGCAACATGCCATGAGGAAAAGCTGCCATAAGAAAAAATATATATTTTCAAAGATCATTTTATAGTCAATAGAAACCAGGTTTTCCTTCCTTTTTTTCCGCCTTAGATTTTATTACACTTAAACCATTTTTGTCGGAGCAATGAGGAAAATTCATATTTATTTTTTCTAAGTGTTCATATTTTCATTCAGCTATACTTTCTTGCATTAAAATTTCTAATTATTTAACAATTTGATATCAAAAACTACGGCTTGAATGTCATGATATTATTTCTTTGAAAACTTTGGCTACTGCACAACTACAGCTGCAAAGTCAAAAGTGATTTTTTCTTAAGTTGGAGGGCTTTTTAAAAACTGTGTGCAGGCAAAATCTTGCTCTGGGTTTGATTTTAATGATACACCAACCAGATTGAACCATAGGCATTATAAGCCTACTATGAATTGTCTTTGACTGAGCCTCAAACATGCAGCCTATAATTGGACAAGAGCTTTGTATCATTTGAGCTCCATATCCATTTTGAGTCCCTGCTTAATCTATTTAATGCAAGGTTCTTCCATTATTGAGTTGACGGATTCCGCTTGGCTGAAGGTTAAGTGCTGGAAATAATGACTGAACGTGCAGACTTAGATCTTTAGACCAACATCCAGTTAAGAATATGTTAAGTAAATGCAAAGTGGATAATATTCTAGGACGTTTCTAATCTCTCTGGTACAGACCTGGGACAAATAACTAAATATCCAGAAAGTATCAGTTTCTTAATACCAGACATTGAAAATTTTTGTTAAAGATAAAGATATTCTTAAATTATTTATAGAAAAACATTAACAGACTTTTAGTACAACCTCTTTGATATTTCTTCTAATTCATAATAAGCCATTATGATTTTATTGGTATAAAATTTGGGGTCAAAGTCAAATATTGGGACTAGTTCTAGTATCTTCAGCTCCCTAAGAATGACCCTCTTGAATATTTTGAGAAGTACATTATGTTTTTGGAGCCTTGTCATGATTCTAATTAGTGCCAAGTTTAAATGGTTCAGTTCCATGGAGACTGTTTCCAACTTCTCTAAAAACTGAAACAAAGAAAAGCACCATTAAAAAAATCTGTCCTTACTGTCAATCATTTTATTCTCTATGACTGCATCAATTGACTAAAGTTTTCCTCTCCAAAAGAATGCATTAGTCCATTGAGAATTCAAATGTGATAAAAGAATCGTTCTATACGAGGTACCTTCCTAAATTGCAATATGTTTAAACATAAAATAGATTTAGGATGTGGGAGAGGTGATATTTTCTGGAAAAAAAAAGTCTAATTATAAGGTGTTTTTTCCCCTTTATTTTTGGATAAAGGCACATAAAATTCATTTGATTTGAACCATTTTGAACTTTTTACTCTTACCACCAGGGGGCAGGTCATGCTAACTATTGATTTAGTGGATGCTGAAAGGCACATAAGGCAATTTTAGAAAGAAGTATAAAATTCCCTAACAGTTTCTTTGCAGACTCTTTAGGAGAAGAGCTGTTGAATTGTTCAAAGTGTAATTTTCACACTAATCATAAAAGAAACTACATAATTACAATTTCAAACTATTAAATACTTTGAAATTAATTTTTGTGAACTGTTTGTTCCTTTTTTATTTTTTAATTAAACATGGTTTCATTTGAACTGAAATTATAAATTACTCAAAGGAAATTGAAAATAATGGCTTTCCACGTGTTCTCATGTTTATAGATCAGTTTCTTAACAGTTATTTCAAGTTAGATTTCAAATATCTTCATTAGAAACAATCTTCAGAAGAAATAATCTTCATAAGAAAAGAATTCACTATGGAAACATTATAAAATGCAGAGGTAATTTAGAAAATTTTTGAAGGAGAAAACTGGGTTTAAATTTATTAGAGGCACGCTGCATTTATTTACAAGTACACATGATTCCATATTGACTCTGTTGTCCATTCATTTAATATTATTGATGATAAGCTATACAAATTTTATTGGAAATAAGTGTGAACTTCTCAGGTGCATAAACAATGTCTTTACTTTCCTCCACATTTATTTTCAGTGTCCAAGCAAAACCTATGACCCACTGATTAAGTCCACCCGAGATTTTCCAGATGATGTCATCAGTTTCATAAAGCGGCACTCTGTGATGTATAAGTCCGTATACCCAGTTGCAGGAGGACCAACGTTCAAGAGAATCAATGTGGATTACAGACTGACACAGATAGTGGTGGATCATGTCATTGCAGAAGATGGCCAGTACGATGTAATGTTTCTTGGAACAGGTAAGCTAAAACTAGATTAGGATTTTTTCAAAAGGAATTTTTCATTATTAGACAAAGAGAAGAACAACTTCAAAAATATTTATTGGTCAAAATAAAAATGAGTAATTATTAGATAAAACCTTGTCAGCATTTCTTAAAATTATGTAGCTTTTAATTGATAATCATAAATATCTCCCAACTTCAAATCTGAGATTTCAAAATGTATTTGACAGCAATGTGTCTACTCTACATTACATGCTCAATACATATTTGTTGAATGATTTTGAACTACAATTAAACAAGTAGGGCAAAGTAATGTTTATTTTCAAACTTTGCCTTTCCCTCTCTTTGCAAGTATATTCCCAAAAGATTCCTTCACCTGATTTTGAGAATCACTGACTTAGTTGACTTAAGATAGATTTTCAGAAACATTAAACATTACTTTGTAAAGACCTTTAAATAGAAACTTCTTGGAGATTATCTTTCTTCTTGAATTTTGTGCATTAAAATGTATTTCCTAGACTCAGATTTTAAGCCCATTGTATTTTTTCTTTGTCTGTCAACTCAGTAACTATAAAATGATTAAAATGTTTTTATAAAAAGAAAAACTTAATCTCAAAAAAAGTAAAAGTATTAGCTAATAATGTCATGGGAATTCTACTGGCAGTAAAGATAACATGTATCATTAAAACAAAAGCACTGTATTCCATATCATATTATATAACTTAATGGATCAAGCATTTCATAAAGAATTAAAAATTAAGAATTTTCAACAAACAAGACTTTTTATTAGAATAGATATTTAAGAGTTCAAAACAATTTTAGAATAATTTTATTTTTAAAAATTATGGATCTTATAGAAGTTAGGTTTATTAGGAAGTATGTGTGTGACGGAATCAGAGGACCTTTGTCATTGATTGTCAAACCTGATTATTTTGAAGATGGCAATTCCACAAACCAGAAAAATAAGGGATATTCCCAAGACAAAAGAGATGGCTGTTGAAGGGTCAAAAGTAGAATTAATTAGTTGCTATTAATTCCCACAAGTTTGACGCTTAATTTGTACTGTCCACCCAAAACTAGGTGTTCAACAGTTCACTGCAATGAATGTCATTTAGCCACTAGGTGGTAATATCTAACCTTTACTGAGAAAATTATAGACTGCTAAGATAGGTTTTTAATTTTGACATTTGGAAAAATGTACATTTAATATTCTTTAAAGATCCCAGAGTTATTTAAAAACAATTAAATAATTCAGACTATTTTGTGCGAACAGGATCATTATTATATACGTTACTATACTCCAACCCCAGTGCTCAGAAGTTTAAAAATGCCTATATTATATAAATTAAAGTGGGATTTTTTTTTTCTTTTTCTAAACTGTTCTTTTAATTTTCTTTCTGTACTAACCTGACACTTCATTTAATTTCAATGTAAGATGATGTATTTAAGATACCTCTTTTAAATGTCAATTTTTGGTTTGCATTATCAACCTTGTATTAAGTTGAACTTAAATAATTTTAAACAAACCTTCCATTTCTCATCTATTAATAAGGATTCTGAAGATAGAATACATTTGAAGAGTGAGCTACAATTTCCCTCAGATAGCTTCAATGATTTTTTTGTTCATTTGACAACATTATTAAAAGAATATATATCTGTCTTTCATGGTGAATTGGATATAATAACTACTTAATAAATATATATTACATGGAAGGAAGAGAGAGAATTTGTTATTTTAATATATTTTTAACTTTTTCAGTTAAGGTCCAAAACGTTTGCTCTATTAACGTTTCAAACAATATTTAAATTATACATATATATCTATATATTACTTTTGTTAAGAATATACTCTGAATATGCATCCTTTAACATTCTCTCTATAAATGGGTGTTCTACTAGCTAAAAGCTATATTTTGGGAGGACAAAACTTAAACATTAAGCTTCAGTTCATGCATGTTTCATTTAATCTGTTTTTTGAAAGGCATTTAAAGAGAAGTGAGGGGAATGATTTGCAGGTTTCTAGGGATATGCTTACCACTAATTTTTGAGATAGAAACAATGGGATCATGGGTTATGCATTTTTTCAGACATTGGAACTGTCCTCAAAGTTGTCAGCATTTCAAAGGAAAAGTGGAATATGGAAGAGGTAGTGCTGGAGGAGTTGCAGATATTCAAGGTAAGACTCAGTCCAGAGTGCCAGGAGAAAAGATGTTGAAACTGAGTAGCGCTTGTTATAGGGCACCCTTGTTTTAATACATCATCAGGTTACCTGAAGAAGCCTTTGAAATTAGCTTTCTTAGTTTTCTTTTCCCAAAGCAGTGGAAAAAGTTTTATAAGCGACTAGGAATGGGACTCACCTTCCTCTGTAGAATACCGCTGAATTCAGGGCTCCCGGGATTGCCTCTCATTACTGCATTCTCTAAGCATATAGTCAGACAAATTGCCACATTAAATGAAAGCCTGGGGTCTCTTTTACTATCCAGATGCTTTTCTACTTTATAAATTTTACTTTTCAATTTTTCCCCAATTGAATTTGAGAAAAATAGACCAGTGTATAAATCATGTGTCCCTGCTTTTCTGTAAGGAAATTAAAAAAATATATAGGTTGCATCATAGTAAGTCTTCATGTATGCTAAACTCCTCTCACCCGGCAAAAAGAGTTAGTAGATCTAGAAGAATAGTTCTCCAGATTTGGAGAATGTCTTTGACTTTTAACAATAACTCTCAATTGTGGCATGCTTTGTAAATCCTCAGTAAAATTAAGTTTACAATTATTTGCTGATTGTAACATTTGAAATACTTTTTTTCTCAGAAAAACTTTTTTAAAAATATGCTTTGTTTATTATAACATTTTTATTGAGACAGTTTATTAAAATGGATTGTTTCCATGTAAATAATGCTTTAAAAGAGAATAAAGCCTTCCTCTGTGAGGGGCTCAAGTTAATTAACATGCTGAGTTCCACAGGATCCTGTTTATGTTGTGATGATAATAGTGGTCAAGGAGTTAACAAGAACAAGACCTGCTATCTGGTGTCTACCAAAACAAAATCTTGGGTGGTTCCTAGGGGAAGGCCAGATGTCAAACATAAGTGTGAACCCAGAGGCCAAAAATACAGTGCCTATAACACACATAAGCACATTAGAACAAGTCTCGTTCAATGGTGTTAGACAGTGGTCAAGAAGAATTACTTGGATTCTGCTGTTAAAATTACATAAATGACCAGCTTTTGTTTTCTTTTCTTATTGTAAAATCAGCTTTATTGAGGTATAATTGAGATACAAACAAAAAACTGAACATATTGTATGTATATAATTTGATAAGTTTGGCCATGTTTTTAAAATTGATAACAAAAATGCTATTTGATAGAACTTTCTCACTGAAATTTTTTTTCATATATTTCTTTAAATCTTTAACATCTAATACTGCTTGTCAATTAGCAAATATGAGCTGGTGCTAAATGAATAAATAGTAGATAGATGATAGGTAGATGGAAAATTTTTTAAGCCATCTTGTCCTTTTTAGTTTGTTAGCTTTTGTGTTCATGTTTCTGATTTTATCTTGCATGCATTGAGCCATATTTTTTTACAAACAAAACTAGCCTTAGTTCATATTGTGAAATCATGTGCACCAGTATTGTGTAGTGTTCCGTAAAGAATATGATCATCCACAAGGAGCACTATAACTTCTCAAAACTCTGCTACTTAAACAACTTTTTGAACCACTGATCTAAGTAAGAGCAGAAAGAGGTAATAAATAATTATGGAGATGTTCTTGTCAACACTAGTTTGACTTATATGGAAGCAGTTAAGATAAGCAGATTTAGAAGAAGAACACTTGTGAGTAACTGGGAACAATTTTCAATGCAGAGTATTTTCTTATACATTTAAGTCACTTATCTTTAATAAGATACTACAAAATAACTTTTTATCATTTCTGTTAAGGTACAATCACTACATTTTGGAAGAAAATAGCAAACAATAAGAACTTTATTTCCTTATGTAACAGAGACTTGATGTTTACTTCAGTGATATATGGCATCAGATAAAACAACATATTGTTTAATATAAAAACCTGTTAATGATTATCTTTATTGACATTTAACTTCTATTTTCAGCACTCATCAATCATCTTGAACATGGAATTGTCTCTGAAGCAGGTACTTTTTAACTTTTGTATGAAAGTTAATCACAAAAGCAATGGGCTGCTTGAATCAAACTTTATTTGAAAAAAAATCCATTGAAATTGGGAGTTAAATTTTAAGAAATTTAAAACATTATTTGTTTCTCTTGTAATTCATTAGAGACCATTGTTTCAGCCTTGCCTTGGGAGAAATTGAGCCAAATTTTATTAATTGAATGATGCATTCTCCCCTTCCTTTGGATCTTAAAAACTGAACTCACTTTCCTAGTCTCATGAGAATGTCATTCTATCAAGCCCATTAGACATTCATGTAGAATATCAACCCTAACCATTACAAAGGGTTTTTAATCTGGGGGTCTAGGAGTTAGAATATGAACTGTGGTGGCAGCCCAACAGCCAACCTTCCACATATCACATAATATCGAACTCTCAGAATCAATTTCCTCAACAGTAAAGTTAGAAAAACAATATCCACCTCCAGAGTTTGTTGGGAGTTTAAAGAGGATGCTTCATGCAACATTCTAAACAGAGAGCAGGCACATAAGTGTAAAGTAAATGGTAACTAATTATAATAATAGTAATAATCTTTAACATTATTTCATAACTCTCTGATATGATATTCCAAATTACAATTGTTTCAAGAGATTCAAACTGCACTATTATTTCTATTTGCACCCCCAAGATATAAGAAAGCCATATGACATGTTCAACATCAAGGTGTTGCTAAAATTGACTTAATCTATTACTGTTCCTATGGCAGAGTGATTTTTTTAGGAAATTATCTAAATAGTTTTCTTCTTCAGGGCTTTGTCATTTATTTGTTCATTCACTTATCATTTATTTCTTGAAGGCCTAAGGTGCTTGGAGGGTACATGAATGAATGAATAACATAGCTCGCCATTAACCTCCAGAAGCTCACAGTATAGCTGAGTGTCAAAGGAAGACACTTACACTGCACAGTAATAATAGAGTCTAGAAAGACAGAGACAAGAAAGTGGCCTAAAGGGAGCCAGAAGGAACAGGGAAAGATAACTGAAAGAAGAGACATACAGCTTGAATTATGAAGGATGTCATAGTTAACCAGATATATTAAAAGGAGAATGGAATGGAGGAGTATATGCCAACCAGAAGGGGAGAATCTTTGCAAAAGTGTGAAGAGTGAGAGACTATAGCTTATTGTAATAAGTTTGTGTACAATTAGAGTATGGATCATATGTGTGTTCAAAGGGCAGGAAGGCTAGAAATGAATCTGGAGAAGTAAGACAGAACAAGATTAGGCACAACTTTATATATCTTTATATATCCTCCTAAGAAGTTTAGCAGCATATCTTAAAAACAATGAAAGCCCCTGGATGCTTGGATAATGCTCACCTGTAGTGCAGCTACTCAGGAGCCTAGAATGGGAGGATACCTTGAGCCCAGGAGCTCAAGTCCAGTCTGGGCAACATAGTGAGAACCTGGCTCAAAAAAAAAAAAAAAAGCCATTGAAAAGGAAAACAAACAAACAAAAATACATTTATGATTAAGAAGGAGGGTGTTATAATAAGATTTTCTTTTTAGAAAGATTAGTCTGGTGTGGCAGTGTGGAAGATAGACTGGGTACTGGGGTAGAGATGGGGGTTGTTGGAAAACAAAATCAAAGCCAGCAGAAATAGGACACTTACAAGTAATCCAGGAAAGAAGTGATAAGGACTGAAACAAAGTTAGTGGCTGTAGCAAGGGAGGGGAGGAAATAGATTAGAAAATTCTGTATGAGAGAATGGAAATGAAGTGATGACAGACTGAATGTGAGAGAAAGAAGATTCAAAGACAACTCCCAGATTTCTGTCTTGGATGACTTGGTGGATGAGAGTGCTACTCTCCAAGGTAGGGCAGGAGGAGTAGATTTAGGGGGGGTTATTACATTTATACTTATATTGTTTTCAAGATATATCTAAGTCTTTTGTACAATATAAAAGGTAAATAAATAAAGCAAAAAGACGGAAACCCAACATTTAATGCAAAAAAAAAAAAAAAAGGAATCACAAAGGAGACAAATGTCTTAATCCGAAATGAAGAGGGAGAATAGAAAGCAGAGAAAGTTTCAAGGAACATATAGTCATTAGTGTCAAACAGTATAGAGAATTTCAGTAAAACAAATACTAAACAGTGTTCATTGCATTTAACAACTAGGAAGTCTTAACTGACAGTTTAATGGGTGCTAAAGGTGTAAGACCCATTTCTGTAAGTTGAGTACTATGTTATTATGCCAATACCTATTTCTAACATAGATATCCCCCCTCTAACTCTTGAAATGGTCCACTAGAGTGGACCATGAGTTCTTTGAAGGCACAGATTGTGGCTTATTCACTTGTATCACCCCTCCCCCTCCACCGCTACTACCACAGATACTCAAAAGAATGTATAAGGGAAGTAATGCATTACTTTCAGGACTTATATTGAAAATGTGATTTTGTTTGCTGGGTTTTTCAGTATCATGCAGCCTTTCATTTGTGATATAGCATCCCTCAAGCCTGTTTAATACTTTCTTCAGAGTGATAACAAATACTTTCTCTCCCACTAATAACTCACATTCTTTCAAGGATCAGTACTTTAATAACAAATGAAATGGTTAATTGAAATCAGGGGAATGCTTTATAAATTTATTTTCAGTCGTCTCTTATATAAGGAGCCATGGGAAGTCTTGGGAAGACCGTGAGCTTTGCCTATAGCATCTGTGCTGGACATAATCTCTCAAAGTACATTTTCTAGTATTGAGAAAGAATTTGACATCTTAATTCCTGTCTAGCAGCTGGTTTTTGACCTTCTGAAATTACTGCCAAGCTTGTAGAATGCTGTCCATTTCAGCATCAAAATCTTCAAACTACCATCTAACCAGGATAGAAATGATTGACTTATTTTACTCCTCATTATGTTTCTGTACAAGTGTTTACAATGGGCAGGACACCCAGAGAAACAGATTTATATGTATTATGTGATATTCAAGAAAAGGAAATTCTTAAGACTAGTCTGAAAGATGCTTCTAATTCATTTGTTTTGCCCGATTTGCAGCAACAATTGTACATTGGTTCCCGAGATGGATTGGTTCAGCTCTCCTTGCACAGATGCGACACTTATGGGAAAGCTTGCGCAGACTGTTGTCTTGCCAGAGACCCCTACTGTGCCTGGGATGGAAATGCATGCTCTCGATATGCTCCTACTTCTAAAAGGTAAGAGGCACATGGAGTTAATATAAAGGCTTCCTTTCTACAAGCTGAATATCTCACATTAATGCTTTGTCTTATAGTTTAAGTTAAAGAGAAAATATATTACTAACATGTCCTATGGAAGGAATATTAAAATCAAAATGTTGTTTTATATTTTTACATAAAACTTAATTTTGAAGGAGGGTAAAACAGATGCTCTGAAATTCTGAAATATGGAACTTCAAACAATTTTAATAAATTCTATATATTCTTTTCTTTCATTTATGTCAAGCACTATTAAAGGTTTGTTTTTATTCACTATTTTGCCTTTTTTATAATTGTTCCTTCCTTATTTCTTATTTCTAAATATGTATATACTGATGCCCACTGTTTTGCAAATAATATATAAATATATATGATTGTACAAGCACAGATTGTATGAAACCCACAGTGCAGCCTAGTGACTTGGTATAATTTTATTTTTACTCTAATAATTATAACTTGGTCAATTTCTGCCACTCATATAATTAAACAACAAACGGTTTCCTTGCTGTTTGTAGTTCATTGCTTTATGTGCTCTTAGAAATAATGCTATTTTGAGCCAACAATTCCAAGCTAGGAATTTGTTCTATATACACATGTGCAAAAGTACAACAAAGTTATATGTTCAAGAATGTTTATTTCAGCATTATTTTTATAGCAAAATAACTGGAAACAATATGAATGCCCATCGATATGCCTGATGCTAGCTAAATATACTATGTTAATTATTTTAAAATGTTGATTATAGTAACATTATTTTCTAAAGTATTCGAAGTATATTTTCCTCTAGGTGAAATGTAAGCAAATTTATTTTTAGGTCTGTTTTTAAACTAACAGGCACATGCTAGTCTCATTACCACAAGTACACTTTTTTCTTTTTGGAATTTTATTGATTTCTCAAATTCTAAATTCTAGGAAATTACAAATTGAATGTATAGTTCAACAGCAAATATTACTTAAAATTAGAAAACATTTTATATTCCCTGAAATCCATGAATTAAATTGAAATGGGTACATATGATTATTAGAAATTAAAAGTTAAAAGTCACCCACATTTTGTTATGGTTTTTGGCCAAGAACTTGCTCATTATAGTCTTTGGGGAATGCTTTCCTAGAAGCTGAAAAACAAGAATGCTCATTAGTTGGTAATAAACCTTCAGTTTGATGAATTGACCCTGTTCCTTAAGAAGCTAAGATTTAAAAACATTCTTGACCTATGTACCTTATACCATCATAATTTTTTCTTCTTGTATTTCCCAAGACTGTATCTCTGATCTTTCAGACATGCCACTGTGATGTTTTCCCTTACCTAACATAATGTCATGTGAGCCAAAAGATGTGTATAATGGATGAATCTTGTCATCTGTTGTCATCTGTTCAGCATTACCCTCAAGGAACACTATAGATATCACAGAACATTTACTGGTACTTTTCTGATCTCTGAAGTGACAAAATAAAATAGCCAAAGCAAATGAAAGTATGCTGTAAGAGTGTAAGACCTGCTTAGATGTAGCAGGGATTTTTTTTAATAAAATAATTACTCCTTTCTTTTAAGGAAAATATGTGATGTGATACAAAAGCCATTGTTTATTATTATTATTATGATCATAACTATGAGAAAAACAATTTGAGCTACTCATCAGCAGATAGAAATAACAGGTAGTCTTTTATACCACACTGAATTTATAATTCTATTTCAAGTTACAGTATTTAGTTTGTTGCTTAATTAAATCTATGCAATAATGAATCTTTACATGACAAGGTGTTTTGTATTTGTGTATATGTTCCTAGCCACTGACTGAACGCTTTTATATATTATTATTTCTCAATGACTGACTAAAAAGAGAGTTCCTAAAGAGAGTAGCTATCCTCATTTTAATTATATAAAACCTAGGTTGTATTTTTATTTAACCTTTTTTGTTGAATAATTTGTGAAAAAAATAGAGAAAAAGAAGCGTAGTTAAATAAAATTCATGTCATCTCATTGTCTGAAAAGGATTTCTTCTATTTGGACCTCATTACCAGTAGTTTTTTAAATCAATGTTAGATTGATTGGAATATTGACTTGCATTTAAGTTGAACTGTAAGACAAGCATAGTACTGCATCTGCCACTGTTATTAGTATTAGATGTAGCCTTTCTATATGATGGTAATCATGCTTGAAGTTCTAATAAGTTTAATCCCCTTTCCGCAGGAGAGCTAGACGCCAAGATGTAAAATATGGCGACCCAATCACCCAGTGCTGGGACATCGAAGACAGTAAGTACAGCTCTGATATGCTTTTTCTCCCATTTAAAATGCTAAGCCCACTCTTTGTATCTTTTTATTATATGACTTAAACCATCTATTATATAAGAATATCTCCATTTTGTGTAATGCATGTGTTCTGGAAGAGCAACAGGAAATTTTATAAATCAACCCCTGTCTACGTGCCTAATTGAATAATCCTTTGTTATATCATTATTTGTTTCATATGTCTTTTAAAATTCCTAAACTGTAGCTTTTGTTTCTTTTTTACTACCTTATCCATCCTTATAAAGTTTGAAAACTGCTATTAGAGATAAAACAGGATATAACAGAAAACATTTGGACATTTAGAGTAAACTCAAATAGACCTCCCAGAAGTCTGGTAAAAGTGTAGGTCTTATTAGAAAAAAGTTTTTAGGTAGTCTATACTTTATTTATATTCACCTATCAAATCATATATTCACTTAATCAATAAATATTTATTAAGCGACTTCCATGTGCATGTAATTGTCCTGGGTATACTATGTGACTAAGAAACTCCTTAGAGAGCTTATGAATCTTTTGGGAAGTGTCATAAGGCATAATTAGTGATAGGGGAGTTTAGTGAAAGAGAGATCACCAAAAGGCTGTATTGTTTAGAAAAATTAATCACAGAATAGAAGATCTTGAAAGAAGGAGAAGGCCAGTGTGGGGGAAAAGAGAGGAGGCCTGGTGAGTGAGTCTGAGAACAGAGAAAACAAATCTATAAAAGTATGTATTCCAGAGCTGCAGCTACTTTACACTCTCAAGCTCTGCCTTAAGATCGAAAATATATGCACACACACACACCAAACACACACACATGCACACACACACGAACAGGTGGAAGAAGAACACATTTATCACAATGTTACTAAACACCCTACCAGTGATGTAAATAACCCAAATTTCATAATCTATAACTGGTGGTCTGGTAGTGTTTGCTTGATTTAAAAACAAAACAGTTATTTTTAACTTATAACTTAATTCTTCTGAAAAATAAGCCTTGGTCCAGATTAGTGTGCTTGGCTTCTTGTTCTAATGTGTAGGTGATTCATTGTGATGTCCGTTATTTTAGTTAGCAATCATTACTGTGCGATACATATGCAATTATCTACATATGAATATGAAATTTATCGGGGATGATTATAGGTATTGAGGATACAGCAATGAACAACAAAGAAAACAACAAAAGAATCTGTGCATTCACGATATTTATATTCAAGAGTGTGTTGGGGGAGAGAGCAGACAATAAATACCAAAACAAGTAAAATAAATGCTATGTCAAATGATAAATTTTACAAAGAAACTGATACAAAACGTAGTTGCTGCCTTAGGCACCCACAATTTTTGTCTTCACTTTACCATACCCTATTCATGCTATAACCCACTGCACACAGTCTTTTCTAATAATCATCATCATCAGTCTATCCAATCTATTCTTGTCAAGGTCACCGGCAATTTCCTCCTTGCCAAATCCAACGGCCAATTTTCGGTTCTCATTTTTACTTAAGCTCTAACTCCCTCTTTTTTGAAACACTTTCTTTTGCCTTCCATGCATTTGTGTGCTAGAGCCAGTTCATGTGGCCTCATATAAGTTGATTGCTTAAAATTTTGAAATTTTGTGAGCTGATTTTAAACCACTGAAAGCTTGAATCAGACATGGTGGGAGTATTTACAACAGCAAAATCAGCAAGCGCTACAAATTACGTTATTTGTTGTTTTGTTTTGTTTTCAGAGAAATGATATTCCAGCATACCTATGTGCCCTTGTACCATATCCTTCTGGTTAACCTCTTACCTTTCAGACTGCCTTCTGAGTGTTCTTAACTTTCCTTTTCATCTCACCTTTTAAATATTGGAGTGTCCCCAGCCACTTTTCCATTCTCTGTCTACTGACTCCCTAATACTGTCTATTTCAACACTATCAGAGGCTATTTCACTCCCAAATTCATAGTCCAATTCTGAACTCACCCTTACGTACCAGACACAGACACTTGTATGCCTACTAAAGAGCTCCACTTGAAAGCCTAATTAGCATTTCAAACTTATGTCTGAGAAAGAATTCTTATTATCTTCTTCAAGACTTATTTGTTCAGCAGACTTTCCTATATTAATAAATTGCACACAATTCACCCAGCTACTTATGTCAAAAAGCAGCTAGGAGTCACTTTTATATTATTTTCTTTCTTTCCCATCCTATCACCAACCTCTCAGTTAGTCCTTCTGGCTCATGGCCAAGCTTTCCTACTTCTCATCATACCCACAGATGCCAGCCTAACTGAGGCCACAGTAGCTCTTCAGTAGCTACTTCACTGGTCTCTCTGCCTCCACACTTGAACCACTTCTGTCTGTACCCCACTTAGTTGTATACCCCACTTACTAGCCAGAGTCATCTTTTTAAAAACTTCAGTCAGGGCATGTCACTCCCTTACTCAACATTTTTCAATAGCTTCTTAGAACAATTGGTGAAAAACCGGAAAGCTTTCCTATGGCATGTAAGATGCTTCTTGACCTGATCGCTAGTATATTCTCTGACCCTCTCTCACATCACTGTTGCTAGATTCACTTAGTAGCTTTCTCTTTTTCAAAAGCATCAATGGGTTGCTGCCTTATGTATGTTTGCATTCATTGTCCTCTGTACCTGAGGAACTTGTTTTTCAGATGTTTACTTAGCTCCATCTTTTTATATCAATTAATCTTATAGTTAAATGTTAATTCTTCAGAGACACCTTTCCTGATCATCTCATCTAAAATACATTTTTTTTTTGCCCTTGGTATTTTCTCATCTCCTTTATTGTTTTGCAGCAGATATTCCTTTTTTATTCATTTACTTGATTACTTTGTCTATGTCACTAGAATGTAAATTTCTAGAGGGCAGTGAATTTCATATTCGTCCTGTCATATTATCCTAGCACCTAAAATGATGTTAGTGTGTTAGGCACACAATAACAGTTGTGCAATAGACAGGTAAATGGAAGGATATTCAGATGGATAGCATTTGAGCTATACCTTCAGGAGAAAGTTAGATTTTATAAAGTAAATGAAGTAACAATAATTAAAATCAGAAAGACCTCACATAGATTGGGTAAAGTTTGTGAAAGGGTCTATGTGATTCTATTAATTTTATTTCTTACTTTATAGGTGCTAGGAGCTATTTCATATTGCTCAGAAAAGTTGTTTTTTTTTTTAAATAAAAGTGATTGACACCTGTATAGAAAATTGATTGGAGTATGAAACACTAGAGGCAAATAATCAATTGTGGGAGTTAGAGTAGAGATTGTAATGATATTTACAAATTAAATGACTTGTTTCTAATCCACCATAAATGTGTGCTGCATTTTATTAGAAAGTCAAGTCTTGAATAATGGGCAAAGATGTTTCTTTTCTTCTTTATTTTCTTTCATTATTGCTTTAATTGTTAAAAGCTACAAAATTGCATGATTATCAGTGACATAAAATCAGCAATACATGCAGAAAAATAGTTCAACAACATTAAACAGATCAATCTTGCACTTTAATGACAAGCTATATATTTATTATAAAGAGGTATTCTAGGCATTTTACTATAAAAATTTTTTTGACTGCAATCTAGAGGAAAAAAAAACTCCACAATTATCTTACATGTAATAAGAAGCTATTTTAACTATTTCAAAACACTATGGTATATAACTTTTACACATTTAAAATTTAGGTCATGATAGAACAAAACAAGTTGAATATTCCTTATCTGAAATGCCTGGGACCAAAAGGTTTTTGGATTCCGCATTTTATCAGATTTTGGAATATTTGCATATACATAATGAAATATCTTGGAATAGGACCCAAATCTGAACACAAAATTTATTTATATTTCATATACACCTTATACGCATAGCCTTCAGGTAATTCTGTATAGTATTTTTAATATTATTGTACATGAAACAAAGTTTGTGTACATTGTACCATAAGAAAGTAAAGGTGTTATTTTCTCAGCCACCAATGTGGACAATCTGTGGTTGCATGGCATCACCATCATTCCTGACTCTGAATTTATATGTTACCAATAAGCAATCATTTTCTTACACTTATTCACACATAAACTGTGTGTTGTGTCCCTGCCTTTTGACTGCAACTATCAAGTAGAATTTTCCACTTGTGGTTTATGTCTGTGCTGAAAATGTCTTGGATTTTGGAGCATTTTGGATTTCAGATTTTTGAATTAAGGATGCTTAACCTTTGTGTATGATAGTGTGTGTATGTGTGTGTGTATGTGTATATAATATGCATACATCTATGTACGTTTAAAAACTTTTAAAGTGGAAAACTTAAAATTCAAAAGTGAAACAAACATTATTGGAAGTAACAATAAATTCATTTTCATTTTCAGTGAAACTGATGCAGAGATGTCAGACATTATTTCTATTAATTTGAAAAAAGAGTTCAGATAATGAGCTCACTATTACTTTTCCAGTTGATTTCACCAATTTATCTTTTACTAAATTGACCAATTCTTTGGTTAAGTCAGTCTAATTGCATTTCTCCTGAACCCTTGCCCCATATCCCAACAATCAACCTACATCGTCCCCTACTTTGTTGACAAAATCCCTTTCTCAGGAAAATTGTATCTGTTATTATAAGATGGTGCATGTCTTTCTTTTCCATGACTGGCACCAGTGATCTTTCTGTGCATTAGGAATTTATTAACTGTAAAAATCACAGCTATAATCTGTTGAATTGGTGGAGATAGTTGATAGACTACAGGTTTTAAATGGAATCCACACATTTTGAAGGTTAGATGAGGTTAATTCATAATGGTGTCAGCATGCTTGACTTAATCCTTGCTGATAAAACACAAATAAATTCAAAATTAGTTTCTTGAAAAGAAGCCTAACTAATATATGTGCAATTATGCCATTTGCTGCTCATTTGTATGCTTAGGTTTAGGATTCACTTGGTCCCTTAAACCTTACTCTAGTTGATGTCTATAGTGCTAAGTAAGCCAATCTGTAAAATTGAGATATCTGAATATATGATGAAATAGTGCATATTTGGGCCAAGCTGAGCAGCTGTCATTTTTTATTTGATCAAATTTGAGCTAGAGCTCTTAGATCACACAAGGGACACAGCCTTTGGCTACTCTAGATGGAATGTATTTCAGATGGTGCATTGATTTATGAGAATAAGGTGTCTGAGACACTGTTCCTTTAAGCATCCTAGTAACTATCTCATAGCAAATGTATATTGGGTTTAAAAAATCCCTCAGTATAAAAAAGAAAAAAAATGGTAGATTAATACAGATAAGGCCCAGATATTGAGTATTAGTGCATCTGGCTCATCATCATCATCATAGAATTTTGTCAGGTGCAGATCACTATAACTTACTTTTCTGATATCAAAATTTTCTGTTATCTGATCAGCTCTGTGGACCAATTCATGATAGAAATTATCTTTAAATTAAAGCAAACTGCCCCTCCAGAACTATCTACAAAATTGTTTATATTTTATATTAACAAAAAAGTATTAAAGCACTAAAAGATGCAAAAGATTTATTCAGCTCAAAGAAAAAAATCTCAATATATAGAGTTTGATATTATGAACACTATTTTTTAAAATCAAGTGCAAATAGCTAATATATTGATGAAAGAATAAAAATTACAATACAGGGATCAAATTTTAAAAATCAATCTGTTGTGTAATATTTGTCTCAGGTAACAATATTATAACATGAATTTCCTTTCTCTTTAATAATGTATATGATTCTTTCCCCATGGCATCTGTTCTGAATCAGTCTGTTTTCCCATTGCTTTTAAAATCAGGTCAAGGTTAATCTCTTATTCCATGTTTGCTTTCCAGGCATTAGTCATGAAACTGCTGATGAAAAGGTGATTTTTGGCATTGAATTTAACTCAACCTTTCTGGAATGTATACCTAAATCCCAACAAGCAACTATTAAATGGTATATCCAGAGGTCAGGGGATGAGCATCGAGAGGAGGTAAGCTGTTGTCATCAAAGAATACTCACTTTGAGGGAAATAGTGTACGATTGAGAGATGTTCAACTTTTAATTCTGTATGCTACTCTCATCATTATTTGATTAAAAAAAATAACAGGTTTTACTCACTAACACCAAAGGTAACAATAGCTTTGAGATAAGAATAGGCCAACTTCACACAAATGTATTCGTAAAATATATTTGAAAGCAGACTGATTTTTTTAAAGAAATTTACATTTTTTTTCCAAATTCCATATTTCATAGATTGCCTATATTTAGGAACAAATCCCTGACTAATAACAAGAACACCGTATTTTTCTTCCCACAGTAGCACAGTGACTACATTTTAGTTCACATTGTGTTTAATTTAGATCATGAAATGAAACATTTTGAGGGTTATATTAAAACAGAAATATCTATGTTTATCAAATTATATGAGCAAATTAGATAAGTATCCAGACATGTTAAACTAAGGACACTATAATGAATAATGGAATGAACACAGGATTCAGAACTGCATATCTTGAGTTGAAACATGGTCCTTAAACCTTTGGTAATGTTCCTGAGCCCCCAATTTTCTAAGTGAACAAAATAAATTCAAAAGTTACTATAAAATTAAGTGCAAAATGCATATGAGAATGTAGAATTTCAAAAAAGAGGCTCTTACAACTGTAAAATATGCATATAAAATTACAGATACCCTATTAGTGAGGGTATTTTACATGTGGATCAGGAAAGGGTACTAATCATGTGTTTGGAAAATACTGGTTCTACCTTTGGCTTGACTCCTGAGAATTCATGAGCAGATCATAACTTCTCTAGAACTGAGTTTCTCTCTTATGTAAATAAATCAAATTTCTCTAAAATATCAGCCTTATTGAAAAGTCTATAAACATTTAAAATAGTACATGTAATTAAGTCAAACATTAGTACATAACAGTGGATCTCAACCTCCAGTAATTTTGTTTCCAGAGTGCCAATATTGGGCGATGTCTGGAGACATTTTTGAACATCACAGCTGGGTGGGTGGGTGGCCAAGTGGGTGCCCCTGGTGTGTACTGGGTAGAGGTCAGAGATGATTCTAAAAATCCTACAATGCACAGTCCCTCACAGTAAAAGAAAAATCTCACTCCAAACGTGAATGCTGCTGAGAGGTTAAGAAACCTTCAAGTAAAAAAATCAAATTTTATCATAAGAAATTAATTTAAAGATATAGCTCTACTGTTACATGAAGAATTTAATATAATTCTCTTCATCTGACAGCTACAAGAATAACTTTTTCTAAATGTTAACTCTTTACATACTTAATACAAAAATAAAGGAATAATTTCATGCTTTGTTAAGTCAAATTTCGCCAATAAAACTAGATTCGTCATCATTCCTGACTTCTATAAGTCCTAAGATTATGGCAGATTCATAGTTACACTGAATATTTATTTTAAGGGTCCCATTTTTTACCTATATATTGAAATATTATTTGATACAGAAATGATTATTTAATTTCAAAATATAAGGCATTTATTTACTATCCAAGAAATATTGAAAGAATGATACTGAAATTTTTTAACTTGCAGATTTTTTGTTACATTGCAATGTTTTAATCTTAAGTGTCACAAACCAATATTTTGAATTTCATAGCGAATAAAGTTGGATAATTGCTTTTCAGTTAAATATAATTCTTTAATAAATGGCTTTTTTCTTCATGGGAAATTTAATCTGATTTTTAAAAATATGTGGTCCTCTGCTTGAGTTCAGCTCTCAGCTCTAGATACTTACATTTGCCTGTGGTTGTTTGCACTCACATCTTTCATTTTCTTGAAAATTCTGTGCATTACTTTAATTTACCTTTTAAAAGTATATTATATATTCATAATGGTACCATGCTCCATGAATTTCAATGGAGCAGAAATACTTATCGAATTTTACTTAAAAGAAGTATCTTTGCTGTAATATTTCAACTGGTATTTTCATTTATCTTTGTAAATAGAGAGTTTCACATTGTCCAGGGTATGCAATACTGCTTCCTGAGCTGAGGAAAAGGGCAATATCCAGATTATACTTGAAGCATTTTTCCCAGCAGGATGCCTTCTGCTTCTTACCCATAAGGTCACAGTTTGGAATCTTTCCTCCACTCAAAAACAGCCTGCGGGAGGGACCATGATCTCCTGTGGCACAGAGGCTGTCACCAGGTTATTCTCTGCCAGGAGGAGAACATTTCCTTACTGAGCTGTTTCACAGTTGGGTGCTGTACGGGAGGTCATGAGTCAGTTATCTGCTGACTTTCTTATAAAACTGTTCTTAAAATTGATGATGTTTATGCTATAACTAGCAAGTCAATTGGCAGTCCCCAGGCTTCTGTTGAACTTTTGGGATCTGAATAAGTAAACAAGGCCATACTATATTTTCTCTGTGCATTTTAATAACATTTTAAAAAATCTTCAAATACTTGCATTATTCCACTTGTAAGCCTTATTTTATTTTTGTTCTTTTTATTCTAAAAGCAATATAAATGATTTTAAAATTACAGTAACACATAAAAGAACTATGAGGCCACTAAGTGTAGATAAGCATAAATAATATTTTGATGTCTATTCCAGCTTTTTTTTCACTCACCATTGCACTGTGAGCATTTTCCATTATCATTTAATGTCACTTCCATGTTTTTTCTGTCTCCCACGCATCCTACCCTGATGCCGTAGTTATCCATAGGTATTCCAGGTGTTCTCTCACTAGATCATGTTCCTGCTTAAAATAATAATAATGAACTTTGTTATATCTGAGTCTTTCTCTGCTTTCTAACTATTTTCTTAGGAAAAAAATCTTAGAAGTAAAATAAATAAGTTAAAGACATTTGTTATCTTTATGGATTTTGATAAACAACAGCGTATTGCTAATTTCACATAAAAATCACTGTATTAGTGTCTGTTATGAATCCCTGAGGCAAAATTATGGTTCACAATTTAAGAAAATCTTTATCAGTTTAATATGAAAAAATGTATTGCATTAATATCTACTTCTTTGAATATTAG
This sequence comes from Homo sapiens, assembly GCF_000001405.40. Taxonomy (NCBI): domain Eukaryota; kingdom Metazoa; phylum Chordata; class Mammalia; order Primates; family Hominidae; genus Homo; species Homo sapiens. The sequence goes on along the minus strand of NC_000007.14, from coordinate 85,003,773 downwards.
TGAATGTGAACTTACCTTCTTATGTGTCTTGGTTGTTGGCTTCGGTTGTATTTGGTGAATTGTCTTGTCTGTCATTGCTTACTTTATATTGGCATGTTTATTTAATAATAATTGTAATGTCATTTATATATTACAGATATTAATAATTTAATGTTATACATATACATTTATTTTATTTTACATTTATTTTGTTTCTGACAATTTCTGACTTTCTGACACATTTTATGTTTTATATAGGCAAATCTGTTGATTTATGGCTCTGTGATATCTCACCTGTTATGCTTAAAGACTCCTTCCCCAATGAGACAGCAATTATATATTTTTCTAGTTATTTTATGATTTTTTTACATTTTGCATATTGTATTTACATGTACCCAAAGATAGTAAATTAATCTAGTAGTTATTTAGGTATGTGTATATTTGATTTTTTCTTTTTAATAACGAGCTCATTGCTCCAGCATCCCCTTTAGTAAGTTTTCCCTTTTCTAATGTTTACTTAAAATATTAATTGTCGGTTTTGTGGTATAATAGATGGATGATATACAGTGTCATGTAAGTAAACTCTGATAAATTTAAAAACATGTATACAAATGATTCCATTCCAGTTCATTTTCCTTTCTTCCAAATTAAATAAGAAAACTTTTCAGTCTATTTCTTAAATACAGAAAAATTTTTGCAACAGTTTTGCAGACATTTGTTTTCTCACACAAGGAGCTTTCTTTATTTTTTAATCCTAATTTCCCTCTAGTAATATTTTGTGTTTGTTAGAGAAAGGGGATATTTTTGAAGCCCTGATCTCTTCCAAGGCACGTGCAGTGGTTTTACTATGAAAGAACTGACAGGTGAATTATCTGTAAAAGAACTACTATTAGGCTGCTATTATAAGAGATAAAGTCCCTGACCTTTACCTGCTGCTTAATACTTAAATGTCCTTTGTCCCTTCCATGTTACTCTTCTCATGTTAGATGAATTGCCCTTCACTGAAGATCTACATTTAATAATGCCAGTTATATTATCCTTGTTCACATTAGGCAAATGGATAGTTGACCCCAGCTCAAACGTGGTTTTAATTTGTAAAGTTGAGCAGTTTTTACTTATCACTTCTAGAGTGGAGAAAATTCCAAGAGTTTAAATCAATGGCCAGAGATTACATTATCTCTTTGTTGAGGAGCTGAATTTTCTAAATTGACTGTGCTGACATTTCACTGTTGAGATACAGTCTGCATAATGCATCCTATTTCAGCAAAGAATGAAAGCATTACAGAGAAAGAGACTGGAAAGTAGGCAAATGTTAATCAACTACTTAGTTTCTGGGTCACAGATTTTTATCTCTAAATTGCAAAAATTCTCTGTAAATATATCTATTCAAAATGTCTTTTATTAGAGCTGCCAGTTTACTGAAAGCATATTATTGAAATTTTAGCAAGAAAAATAATAGTTAAATGATCTAACAGACATTAGTTAGACCTAGAAAGCTGAAAATTTATTAAATCAAGTATGATATCTGTAGGTCAAAAACCACAGAACAAATCCAGCACTCCACGGAAGAAAAGAAAGTTGAAAGATCATGACCGTGTAATGGAATGCCAGGTGTTTATGGAATCCTGAGTCCTGTGGGGACAGAACTAGAGGGGAAAGGATGGAAGGGAACCAGACCTCAAAGTACAACAACATAAACAGGATACAAAAAGATAATAGCAAAAGTAATGATGAAGTGTTACACAATATGGGTGAGATCAAGTCATAATTTCTTCCTGTCAGAAGATTAAAGAGAACAATAAAAAGTCCTAGTCAGAGCTGTGATAATCTCTAAAAGCCACATTAAATGTAATTTAAACATAAGCAAGAGTACCAGTTATGTAAAGGAAATCTAGAGATGAACTAGAAGTGGAGATATCCACTTTGATTGTCATGCTAATAACCTCAGGCCATTTTCTATTAAGAGAATTACAGTAATAAAGGCTTCAAAATATTACCTCTCAAGCAGCATGGCAGTAGTATGTAATGTTGCTAATAATACTTCACATTTTAACCTTCAAAGAGCTTTGCTTTTAATCCCCCAAACACACCATATGCTGTGCCACCAACTTGATAGATGGGAGACCAATGGGGGAAGAAAAATGAGTCATCATAGGAAACAGAGTAGAGACCAGAAGGTTAGGTTATGAAGCTAGCATTTTGAGACCTAAAGTGTATTAAATTTTAAAAAATTACAATGAAATTATCTAAGGGAAAAAAACAATTATACGTAGTGTATTAAATTTGAGATTGTCAGTTATGTTTAAGATTGGCCATTTAGAACTCTCCCAATTCAAATTCACATTTATTTTAGGCATGAGACTTCTATGGTTTCTGAGAATGTAAATTAATTCAAAGTTAGTTTGTATTACAATAGCATTTCTAAATGTCTGGGCTTTAAGAATAAATCCATAAGAAAAAGAATACCACATCCAGCTTACCAAATAGGCAACATAAGAGAAACAAACAAACAAAACTCTGATGGTGTGGATTCAGTGCAGAGCAAAGGCAGGCCTGGAGACCATTCAGCCTCATTAACCAGGGATCTGAGCTGTGACCTGCCTTTGGCCTCAAATGGTTCCCCGCCAGCTGCACTTCTCTGGCACAGAGGGTGGCTTGCCATATACTTGTTAGTTAACTGGGCTGGTAGCCAGAGATGTTTCTTTTCCTTTTCTCATATTTCCAGAATTGGGGAGATTTTTTCCTACATATTTTTCACATAAAGATGCAGAGTACAATCCACCCACTGTGAATAAATTTAATTTAGCCATCTTTATGCCTCCTTGATTTCCATCATCTAAAAGTCTACAATACAGGGGCAGATGTGTAAACTGGGAAATCTTCCAGAACTTCTTTGTTGCTGTTGTTGTTGTTATTCCACTTAATGCTGAACCACTCAACAATACTCCACATTAAGCAGGGCTCTTTTGTGGGTAAACATGCCTCTAGTTTTACTGAAGATAGGTTCATTATTCACACCATATCATGAGCCAGTCAAGCTTAATGTTAGAATTGTCTTTTAGTAATAATGCTTCAAAGGCTGGAGAGCATCACATTTCAGTAGAAGTTCTTTGTGTTCATTGTGCTTTCTCACACTTGAAATCACATTACCATGTCATAGCATACAAAGGCATGGCAAATATTTCCACAAATGACAGTATAAAGTATCACATATATATACAGTATGAAAATTCAATCCACAGCAAAGAGAGAAATTCAGCTTTCAATGTTGCTAATCTTCTGACTAGGGTCCTACTCAATTACAGCTCTAACGTCCAAAAGACTATACCCGTACCTTTGGCTTTGACTTTAAAGACGTCATCATTTATGGCTTTCATATGCTACTCACAGAACGTATTTGGTGATATCTGGAAAGCAGTAAATTCCACTTGGAATTATTGTTCTATTCTACATTATAGGTAGTAGCATGTACTGAAGCTCGTTTTCTATACAATGTGTTCTATACAATTGTAAATGTTGCATTCTTGCTCCACATTTCAGGTGCTAATTTATGATCTTGATACAGTAATTTGTATATGAAATCTCTGTAAAGAAGGCCACTTGATGGTTTCCAGTTTTTCATTACTTTTCACAGTTTTTCATTCCTATCTGCATATTGAGAGAAAAAAAATAACTGCATTCCAAAGGTTCAGTTAGACTTACTAAGATTCAAATGTGAAAAATTAAGGATATAGTTTGGGGGCTATTACTTTTGTTGAATTTTTTTACTCTTTTTAACTATGGCTGACAATATTATGCTTGATGACAGAGACAGAGAGACAATGAATATGTCTTTCATATTCATCTAAGTAAAACTATGTAGCCTGTTTTCATTTGCTCTTAGCTCTCTCTGTGTTTAATTTATTACCTACATTTTTCCAATTCTGCAGTTGAAGCCCGATGAAAGAATCATCAAAACGGAATATGGGCTACTGATTCGAAGTTTGCAGAAGAAGGATTCTGGGATGTATTACTGCAAAGCCCAGGAGCACACTTTCATCCACACCATAGTGAAGCTGACTTTGAATGTCATTGAGAATGAACAGATGGAAAATACCCAGAGGGCAGAGCATGAGGAGGGGAAGGTCAAGGATCTATTGGCTGAGTCACGGTTGAGATACAAAGACTACATCCAAATCCTTAGCAGCCCAAACTTCAGCCTCGACCAGTACTGCGAACAGATGTGGCACAGGGAGAAGCGGAGACAGAGAAACAAGGGGGGCCCAAAGTGGAAGCACATGCAGGAAATGAAGAAGAAACGAAATCGAAGACATCACAGAGACCTGGATGAGCTCCCTAGAGCTGTAGCCACGTAGTTTTCTACTTAATTTAAAGAAAAGAATTCCTTACCTATAAAAACATTGCCTTCTGTTTTGTATATCCCTTATAGTAATTCATAAATGCTTCCCATGGAGTTTTGCTAAGGCACAAGACAATAATCTGAATAAGACAATATGTGATGAATATAAGAAAGGGCAAAAAATTCATTTGAACCAGTTTTCCAAGAACAAATCTTGCACAAGCAAAGTATAAGAATTATCCTAAAAATAGGGGGTTTACAGTTGTAAATGTTTTATGTTTTGAGTTTTGGAATTTATTGTCATGTAAATAGTTGAGCTAAGCAAGCCCCGAATTTGATAGTGTATAAGGTGCTTTATTCCCTCGAATGTCCATTAAGCATGGAATTTACCATGCAGTTGTGCTATGTTCTTATGAACAGATATATCATTCCTATTGAGAACCAGCTACCTTGTGGTAGGGAATAAGAGGTCAGACACAAATTAAGACAACTCCCATTATCAACAGGAACTTTCTCAGTGAGCCATTCACTCCTGGAGAATGGTATAGGAATTTGGAGAGGTGCATTATTTCTTTCTGGCCACTGGGGTTAAATTTAGTGTACTACAACATTGATTTACTGAAGGGCACTAATGTTTCCCCCAGGATTTCTATTGACTAGTCAGGAGTAACAGGTTCACAGAGAGAAGTTGGTGCTTAGTTATGTGTTTTTTAGAGTATATACTAAGCTCTACAGGGACAGAATGCTTAATAAATACTTTAATAAGATATGGGAAAATATTTTAATAAAACAAGGAAAACATAATGATGTATAATGCATCCTGATGGGAAGGCATGCAGATGGGATTTGTTAGAAGACAGAAGGAAAGACAGCCATAAATTCTGGCTTTGGGGAAAACTCATATCCCCATGAAAAGGAAGAACAATCACAAATAAAGTGAGAGTAATGTAATGGAGCTCTTTTCACTAGGGTATAAGTAGCTGCCAATTTGTAATTCATCTGTTAAAAAAAATCTAGATTATAACAAACTGCTAGCAAAATCTGAGGAAACATAAATTCTTCTGAAGAATCATAGGAAGAGTAGACATTTTATTTATAACCAATGATATTTCAGTATATATTTTCTCTCTTTTAAAAAATATTTATCATACTCTGTATATTATTTCTTTTTACTGCCTTTATTCTCTCCTGTATATTGGATTTTGTGATTATATTTGAGTGAATAGGAGAAAACAATATATAACACACAGAGAATTAAGAAAATGACATTTCTGGGGAGTGGGGATATATATTTGTTGAATAACAGAACGAGTGTAAAATTTTAACAACGGAAAGGGTTAAATTAACTCTTTGACATCTTCACTCAACCTTTTCTCATTGCTGAGTTAATCTGTTGTAATTGTAGTATTGTTTTTGTAATTTAACAATAAATAAGCCTGCTACATGTAAAAAGAACCAAACTCACAATATTAACATAAACATCTTTCATATTTTGTTAGTACTTTCAAATGTTTTCAATTTGACTTTCCCTCTGAATATGCATGGTGTGTTTCCTGTCTGTTTAAGCAGAACTCACCTTTCCTTCTTGTAACACAGAACCCTTAGCCTTCTTCTGTTTTGCCTTTTCACGCCCTTTATAGTGTGAAATGAAAAATTAGTCACTTCCTCACATGGAAGGCAGCTTTTCAGAAAATAACAGACATTGCTCGTTTCTCATGCATTCTACATATCTTGAAAGAAAAGTCTGTGAGAAAACCCTGTGATTAGAGGGCAACTTAATGCAAGATCTGTGGCTCTATGTTGAGAGCATTCTCTCTCTGTTATTTTTATTTTATTTGCATTGCTTACCTATCTCAAAGTAGTCAAACTGATATATGAGATTGAGTACTCCCTTTTGATATTATACTGATGAATATTTGTAGGTGTTTCACTATAAGGAACAGCTAAGGAATAATTTTAATAAAAGTGAACCAGAACAAATCACTCATTTAAAAAGTAATTCAGAAGAACAGTGTGGCATGATCAGACTTCTAATTGAATAGCGTAACAACAGTGTTTGTAATTATAGATTTGCTTGGACAAAATATTCCAGGAACTCATAGCGAGCTCAAAGCAATTAAGTGGGAACATTTTTAATTTAAAAAAAATTTCCAAATATTTGTGGGTCCGACAGTAATGATCAAAATATGAATGACTTTGGAAAATTTACATGAAGCTCAAGTGTTAGGATTGACTTATGAAAATAAATTTTATTTCTATCCAAATTTGAATGTCCAAACCATTTTTTAGTTACTTCTTTCTAATCCTAGTTATTCAGACAAAATTTGGAAACTTATTTTATGACCACATCTAATATTCTGGCTGCTTTGGATACAATACTCTTGATTTATGATAATTAGTTAAAATATATTAAAAATATTATTAGTAAAATAAAATTTCACACAATAAAAAACAACATAGAGTACACATATTTATATGTATTTTTAAAGATAAAGAATATCTAAAATGTGTTTTTTTCTTAGCTTTTTAGTTGTCTAGAACATTTAGAGAAAGAGTATGAATATATTAAATCCACAAACACACTATATACTTCCTCACCACTGACTATTTTATCAAATTTGCCTTAAAATAATGAAAAAGAAAAGTATAGTTAATGGTTTCAAATATGCTAAGAAATTGACTCTGCGGAGGGGATCTTAAAATGCCTGTTTACTCATGTTTTCGTATTTTTCTTGTCTCTAATACTTTTGTCTTTGTCTGCCTTGTGTGTTCTTTTCTGAATTTCATTTCAGCAATTTATGCTGCTAAATAGAATCCCGCATGTCTGCATTCATTTACATTCAACTTATTGTAAATTTTGAGATTTTATTTAGAAATGAATTGTCTAATTAATTTATGTAGAGTCCTTTTTTCCAAAGAGCTCAAAACACTACATCCACATTATTGACTTTTGGAAACCAACCAAATTACTTAAGAAATGGAAAAGTAGTCACAGAGAAATTTAGTAATTTGCAAAAGCCACAACAGTAGTGGAAGAATTAAAATTCATAAAGTCTCATCATTCTGTTGGCTAAAATAATGCTCTTTACAATATGCTGGCTACAAAATGGTCTTACTCTTGAATTTTGCTTTTGGTTCATATTTTGGTTCTTCATATTCTAGTATGTTTTGTTCCTGCTGAATTTTACAGACTCAGCTAAACAATAAGTTATTAGTAGTCACTTGTTTTCATTATCATAATTGAATTTCCAAGAACAACTTGATATCATTCAGCTGTCCAAAAAATAATAAGAGCATTCATTAAATACTGATTTTCTTAAACTTAAATGTTGTATTTCATATTTATTTATATAATACAAATGGAAATCAAAACTGAAATAGCCTCCCTTTAGAATGTCACATTTTTCTTAGAAAACATTTTGGAATTGGTTAACCTTATTGGGAATGGATAATTTAGAAACAAACCAAAAAAAAAAAAAGATATTTGAAGTGTTTTTATAGGAGATGTATTTTTATCATAGTAAATGATCACAATTTTAAATAATTCATCTTACAAGTCAGGTAAAATAAAATCGATTCCCAGATTCCATACATTAGGAGTGCAAAGACAGGATCATACACATGACTTATACCTCTCATTTAAATATTTTATAGTATAAAGTATTTATGGAAAGGGTTTGAGATAGATGATTTTTGGGAAAGGGCAAAATGTGTCAGATGCCCTAGTTAATCATGTAATTTAATTCTGGTATTGTGAGTGGTTAGCAATCAATTTTGAATTTATAATTCTGCTATTTTAAAAGAAATGTAGTCTTGTAGTATGAAATAATTAAAAATTGTTAAATGTATATTTTGGTTGTATTATAATAAAATGCAAACATGACTGTTCTATGATTATAAAAACTACTGGTTTGTGTGCAAATTTTGTTTTCAAACCCCAAATACAGTAAATTTTATATATAAAATAGGACTAAAGAAAATATAAGATGCAATATTTTCTGAAATGTTCAGTAGATGTATTTTACACTGTAAGTATGCAGTAATTTCATTTATGAAAGAAAAGAATGTGTCCCACCCAATTTGATACCATTATATTGCTAAGCTTTATTGTGATTTAATTTAGGTTTTAGTGGATTGAGATAAATGTTATTACCACAAATAACTACTTCTTTTAAAGTTCTCAATTGCCATCTGATTACTTAAAAATACTCATCTACATGTTTAGCTGTATTGGAGTATAATTTATTAAAGAGTAAGGTATGGATTTTGTCTTTAATTTTGCTTCATAAAAACATTTTTAAAATTTATTTTACAGACACATATTTCTTGCCAATTTGGTGCACACGTGAAGAATATTTTATATGTGCAAATAAATAATATAATGTCCTACAAATGTGGTACTCAAATAATAAAGAGAGAAACCGTGTTGAGAACTGTCACTGACAAGCTTGTAACATAAGTTTACAGTAATAGTCTTTAAAAGAACAAATAATTTTCACATAAAACACCTAAAAATTATTACTTCTTTTGGGCTACTACAAAAATACAGTAAACTGGGTGGCTCATAAACCACAGAAATGTATTTCTCACAGTTCTGAAGCCAGAGAAGTTCACGATCTAGGTACTGGCAGATTCTGCGTCTAGTTAGGGCCACTTTCTGATTCATAGACGATGCCTTCTTGTGTGTCCTCACATAGTGGAAGGGGTGAATGAGTTCTCTTTGGCCTGTTCTACACAGGCAATGATCCCACTCATCAGGGTTCCACTCTTATAACCTAATCAACTTCCAAAAGGCCCCATTTTCTGACACCATCATCTTGGGAGTTAGGATTTCAATGCTTAAATTGAGGAAAGAGGGAACACAAAAATTCAGACCATAGCAGAGTTCTTAGGTACTAGATCATGTCCAAGCTTTTACTGTAGATGAAATGCAAGATTAATAATTGAGAAATTTTCAGGTATATTTATTTGAGTACATAAAGACACTTAAGTAATTCTCAAGACAGAAGAAACAAGAATGTAACAGTTTAGTTGAGAATGGAAAGCATGTAAGACCACACAACTTGCTGTCTTTACTAACCTGGCTTTCCTAGTCAAAAGAACTCCTGTGCAAAGAAGATGAAGTTGAAAATACATTTATTGTTTGTTTCAGAAGCTCATATACTTTTACATTACATATATGTTGGCATAAACACTCACCTTGGAAAGTGATTTGGCAATATCCAATGAAGTTGGATTTTAGTGGATTGAGATGAACGTTATTACCACAAGTTACTACTTCTTTTAAAGTTTCTGGCCGGGTGCGGCGGCTGATGCCTGTAATCGCAGGACTTTGGGAGGCCGAGGTGGGCGGATCACGAAGTCAGGAGATGGAGACCATCCTGGCTAACACAGTGAAACCCCATCTCTACTAAAAATACAAAAAATTAGCCGGGCGTGGTGGCGGGCACCTGTAGTCCCAGCTACTCAGGAGGCTAAGGCAGGAGAACGGCGTGAACCCGGGAGGCGGAGCTTGCAGTGAGCCGAGATCGCGCCACTGCACTCCAGCCTGGGCGACACAGCAAGACTCCATCTCAAAAAAAAAAAAAAAAAAGTTTCCAATTGCCATCTGATTATTTAAAAATACTCATCTATATGTTTAGCTGTATTAGAGTATAATTATCTCAAGAACAAGCTCTTCACAATTAGTATATAACCTTGAGAAACTTCTCCACATGTGTAATAGTAGACATTTTTGAAACTCTATTACAGGATAATTATAATAGAAAAGCAAAACAATCTATATGTTCAAGACAAGGAGAATAAATAACTTGAAATATACTTACTAAATAGATACAGAAGTTTAAATTTAAAAAAAAAAAGTTGGGGGTGGAGCCAAGATGGCCAAATAGGAACAGCTCCAGTCTACAGCTCCCAGCATGAGCAACGCAGAAGACTGGTGGAATTCTGCATTTCCAACTGAGGTACCAGGTTCATCTCACTGGGGAGTGCCGGACAGTGGGTGCAGGACAGTGGGTGCAGCCCACCGTGCGTGAGCCGAAGCAGGGCAAGGCATCGCCTAACCCGGGAAGCACGAGGGGTCAGGCAATTCCCTTTCCTAGTCAAAGAAAGGGGTGACAGACGGCACCTGGAAAATCGGGTCACTCCCACCCTAATACTGCGCTTTTCCAATGGGCTTAACAAACGGCACACCCAATTATGTCCCGCACCTGGCTCAGAGGGTCCTACGCCCATGGAGCCTCACTCATTGCTAGCACAGCAGTCTGAGATCAAACTGCAAGTTGGCAGTGAGGCTGGGGGAGGGGCGCCCACCATTGCTCAGGCTTGAGTAGGTAAACAAAGCAGCCGGGAAGCTCGAACTTGGTAGAGCCCACCACAGCTCAAGGAGGCCTGCCTGCCTCTGTAGGCTCCACCTCTGGGGGCAGGGCACAGACAAACAAAAGACAGCAATAACCTCTGCAGACTTAAATGTCCCTGTCTGACAGCTTTGAAGAGAGTAGTGGTTCTCCCAGCACTCATCTTGAGATCTGAGAACGGGCAGACTGCCTCCTCAAGTGGGTCCCTGACCCTGAAGTAGCCTAACTGGGAGGCACCCCCCAGTAGGGGCAGACTGACACCTCACACAGCCGGGTACTCCTCTGAGACAAAGCTTCCAGAGGAATGATCAGGCAGCAGCATTTGTGGTTCACCAATATCCGATGTTCTGCAGCCACCACTGCTGATACCCAGGCAAACAGGGTCTGGAATGGACCTCCAGTAAACTCCAACAGACCTGCAGCTGAGGGTCCTGACTGTTAGAAGGAAAACTAACAAACAGAAAGGATATCCACACCAAAAACCCATCTGTACGTCACCATCATCAAAGACCAAAGGTAGATAAAACCACAAAGATGGGGAAAAAACAGAGCAGAAAAACCAGAAACTCTAAAAATCAGAGCGCCTCTCCTCCTCCAAAGGAACGCAGCTCCTCACCAGCAAGGGAACAAAGCTGGATGGAGAATGACTTTGACGAGTTAAGAGAGGAAAGCTTCAGAAGATCAAACTACTCCGAGCTAAAGGAGGAAATTTGAACCAATGGCAAAGAAGTTAAAAACTTTGAAAAAAAATTAGACGAATTGATAACTAGAATAACCAATGCAGAGAAGTCCTTAAAGGACCTGATGGTGCTGAAAACCACGGCAGGAGAACTACCTGACGAATGCACAAGCCTCAGTAACCAATGTGATCAACTGGAAGAAAGGGTATCAGCGATGGAAGATAAAATGAATGAAATGAAGCGTGAAGAGAAGTTTAGACAAAAAAGAATAAAAAGAAATGAACAAAGCCTCCAAGAAATATGGTACTATGTAAAAAGACCAAATCTACGTCTAATTGGTGTACCTGAATGTGATGGGGAGAATGGAACCAAGTTGGAAAATACTCTGCAGGATATTATCCAGGAGAACTTCCCCAATCTAGCAAGGCAGGCCAACATTCAAATTCAGGAAATACAGAGAATGCCACAAAGATACTCCTCGAGAAGAGCAACTCCAAGACACATAATTGTCAGATTCACCAAAGTTGAAATGAAGGAAAAAATGTTAAGAGCAGCCAGAGAGAAAGGTCGGGTTACCCAAAAAGGGAAGCCCATCAGACTAACAGCTGATCTCTTGGCAGAAACTCTACAAGCCAGAAGAGAGTGGGGGCCAATATTCAACATTCTTAAAGAAAAGAATTTTCAACCCAGAATTTCATATCCAGCCAAACTAAGCTTCATAAGTGAAGGAGAAATAAAATCCTTTACAGACAAGCAAATGCTGAGAGATTTTGTCACCACCAGGCCTTCCCTAAAAGAGCTCCTGAAGGAAGCACTAAACATGGAAAGGAACAACCGGTACCAGCCGCTGCAAAAACATGCCAAATTGTAAAGACCATCAAGGCTAGGAAGAAACTGCATCAACTAATGAGCAAAATAACCAGCTAACATCATAATGACAGGATCAAATTCACACATAACAATACTAACCTTAAATGTAAATGGGCTAAATGCTCCAATTAATAGGCACAGACTGGCAAATTGGATAAAGAGTCAAGACCCATCAGTGTACTGTATTCCAGAAACCCATCTCACGTGCATAGACACACATAGGCTCAAAATAAAGGGATGGAGGAAGTTCTACCAAGCAAATGGAAAACAAAAAAAGGCAGGGGTTGCAATCCTAGTCTCTGAGAAAACAGACTTTAAAACAACAAAGATCAAAAGAGACAAAAAAGTCCATTACATAATGGTAAAGGGATCAATTCAACAAGAAGAACTAACCATCCTAAATATATATGCACCCAATACAGGAGCACCCAGATTCATAAAGCAAGTCCTGAGTGACCTACAAAGAGACTTAGACTCCCACACAATAATAATGGGAGACTTTAACACCCCACTGTCAACATTAGACAGATCAAGAAGACAGAAAGTTAACAAGGATATCCAGGAATTGAACTCAGCTCTGCACCAAGCAGACCTAATAGACATCTACAGAACTCTCCACCCCAAATCAACAGAATATACATTCTTTTCAGCACCACACCACACCTATTCCAAAATTGACCACATAGTTGGAAGTAAAGCACTCCTCAGAAAATGTAAAAGAACAGAAATTATAACAAACTGTCTCTCAGACCACACTGCAATCAAACTAGAACTCAGGATTAAGAAACTCACTCAAAACCGCTCAACTACATGGAAACTGAACAACCTGCTCCTGAATGACTACTGGGTACATAACGAAATGAAGGCAGAAATAAAGATGTTCTTTGAAAACGGTGAGAACAAAGACACAACATACCAGAATCTCTGGGACACATTCAAAGCAGTATGTAGAGGGAAATTTATAGCACTAAATGCCCACAAGAGAAAGCAGGAAAGATCCAAAATTGACACCCTAACATCACAATTAAAAGAACTAGAGAAGCAAGAGCAAACACATTCAAAAGCTAGCAGAAGGCAAGAAATAACTAAGATCAGAGCAGAACTGAAGGAAATAGAGACACAAAAAAAAACCCTTCAAAAAATCAATGAATCCAGGAGCTGGTTTTTTGAAAAGATCAACAAAATTGATAGAACACTAGCAAGACTAATAAAGAAGAAAAGAGAAAAGAATCAAATAGATGCAATAAAAAATGACAAAGGGGATATCACTACCGATCCCACAGAAATACAAACTACCATCAGAGAATGGTATAAACACCTCTACGCAAATAAACTAGAAAATCTAGAAGAAATGGATAAATTCCTCGACACATACACTCTCCCAAGACTAAACCAGGAAGAAGTTGAATCTCTGAATAGGCCAATAACAGGCTCTGAAATTGAGGCAATAATTAATAGCTTACCAACCAAAAAAAGTCCAGGACCAGATGAAGTCACAGCCAAATTCTACCACAGGTACAAGGAGGAGCTGGTACCATTCCTTCTGAAACTATTCCAATCAATAGAAAAAGAGGGAATCCTCCCTAACTCATTTTATGAGGCCAGCATCATCCTGATACCAAAGCCTGGGAGAGACACAACAAAAACAGAATTTTAGACCAATATCCTTGATGAACATTGATGCAAAAATCCTCAATAAAATACTGGCAAACCGAATCCAGCAGCACATCAAAAAGCTTATCCATCATGATCAAGTGGGCTTCATCCCTGGGATGCAAGGCTGGTTCAACCTATGAAAATCAATGCTCCAGCATATAAACAGAATAATCCAACATATAAACAGAATCAAAGACAAAAACCACATGATTATCTCAATAGATGCAGAAAAGGCCTTTGACAAAATTCAACAACCTTCATGCAAAAAACGCTCAATAAATTAGGTATTGATGGGACATATCTCAAAATAATAAGAGCTATCTATGACAAACCCACAGCCAATATCATACTGAATGGACAAAAACTGGAAGCATTCCCTTTGAAAACTGGCACAAGACAGGGATGCCCTCTCTCACTACTCCTATTCAACATAGTGTTGGAAGTTCTGGCCAGGGCAATCAGGCAGGAGAAGGAAATAAAGGGCATTCAATTAGGAAAAGAGGAAGTCAAATTGGTCCTGTCTGCAGATGACATGATCTAGAAAACCCCATCGTCTCAGCCCAAAATCTCCTTAAGCTGATAAGCAACTTCAGCAAAGTCTCAGGATACAAAGTCAATGTGCAAAAATCACAAGCATTCTTATACACCAATAACAAACAGAGAGCCAAATCATGAGTGAACTCCCATTCACAATTGCTTCAAAGAGAATAAAATACCTAGGAATTCAACTTACAAGGGATGCGAAGGACCTCTTCAAGGAGAACTACAAAGCACTGCTCAATGAAATAAAAGAGGATACAAACAAATGGAAGAACATTCCATGCTCATGGATAGGAAGAATCAATATCGTAAAAATGGCCATACTGCCCAAGGTAATTTATAGATTCAATGCCATCCCCATCAAGCTACAAATGACTTTCTTCACAGAATTGGAAAAAACTACTTTAAAATTCATGTAGAACCAAAAAAGAGCCCACATTGCCAAGTCAATCCTAAGCCAAAAGAACAAAGCTGGAGGTATCATGCTACCTGACTTCAAACTATGCTACAAGGCTACAGTAACAAAACAGCATGGTACTGGTACCAAAACAGAGATATAGACCAATGGAACAGAACAGAGCCCTCAGAAATAATGCCACATATCTACAACCATCTGATCTTTGACAAACCTGAGAAAAACAAGCAATGGGGAAAGGATTCCCTATTTAATAAATGGTGCTGGGAATACTGGCTAGCCATATGTAGAAAGCTGAAACTGGATCCCTTCCTTACACCTTATACAAAAATTAATTCAAGATGGATTAAAGACTAACATGTTAGACCTAAAACCATAAAAACCCTAGAAGAAAACCTACGCAATACCATTCAGGACATAGGCATGGGCAAGGACTTCATGTCTAAAACACCAAAAGCAATGGCAACAAAAGACAAAATTGACAAATGGGATCTAATTAAACTAAAGAGCTTCTGCACAGCAAAAGAAACCACCATCAGAGTGAACAGGCTACCTACAGAATGGGAGAAAATTTTTGCAACCTACTCATCTGACAAAGGGCTAATACCCAGAATCTGCAATGAACTCAAACAAATTTACAAGAAAAAAACAAACAACCCCATCAAAAAGTGGGTGAAGGATATGAACAGACGCTTCTCAAAAGAAGACATTTATGTAGCCAAAAACCACATGAAAAAATGCTCACCATAACTGGGCATCAGAGAAATGCAAATCAAAACCACAATGAGATACCATCTCACACCAGTTAGAATGGCGATCATTAAAAAGTCAGGAAAAAACAGGTGCTGGAGAGGATGTGGAGAAATAGGAACACTTTTACACTGTTGGTGGGACTGTAAACTAGTTCAACCATTGTGGAAGTCAGTGTGGTGATTCCTCAGGGATCTAGAACTAGAAATACCATTTGACCCAGCCATCCCATTACTGGGTATATACCCAAAAGATTATAGATCATGCTGCTATAAAGACACATGCACACGTATGTTTATTGCGGCACTATTCATAATAGCAAAGACTTGGAACCAACCCAAATGTCCAACAATGATAGACTGGATTAAGAAAATGTGGCACATATACACCGTGGAATACTATGCAACCATAAAAAATGATGAGTTCATGTCCTTTGTAGGGACATGGATGAAGCTGGAAACCATCATTCTCAGCAAACTATTGCAAGGACAAAAAACCAAACACCGCATGTTCTCACTCATAGGTGGGAATTGAACAATGAGAACACATGGACACAGGACGGGGAACATCACACACCGGGGACTGTTGTGGGGTGGGGGAGTGGGGAGGGATAGCATTAGGAGATATACCTAATGCTAAATGACGAGTTAATGGGTGCAGCACACCAACATGGCACATGTATACATATGTAACAAACCTGCATGTTGTGTACATGTACCCTAAAACTTGTATAATAATAATAATAAAAGAAAAAAGTTGTATGTATTATCATAGAAAAATCTCAAAAACATAATGTTAAACAAATAAAATCAAGGAGTCTAGGGATACAAAAAAAAATTGTCCTGGGTATATCAAGTTTAAAGAAGCAAATGATACTGCTTATGGTACATATGCTCATATGTAAGTAGTAAACATATAAAAACAATTTCTGGAAAAGTTAAGTACTAAATTGGAAATAAATTTTCCTCTAAGTATCTAAGGAAAAGATGAGGACATAGGGAGCTACAATTGTTTCAATAGCTTTTAAAATTCCTCTTTTTTTTCTTTTTTTTTTTTTTTTTTTTTGAGATAGAGTTTTGCTCTGTCACCCAGGGTGGAGTGCAGTGGCACGATTTGGGCTAACACCATTCTCCTGCCTCAGCCTCCCGAGTAGTTGGGACTACAGGCACCCGCCACCATGCCCAGCTAATTTTTTTGTATTTTTAGTAGAGACGGGGTTTCCCCGTGTTAGCCAGGATGGTCTCCCTCTCTTGACTTTGTGGTCCGCCCGCCTCGGCCTCCCAAAGTGCTGGGATTACAGTTGTGAGCCACTGCACCTGACCTAAAATTTTTTTTTTTTAAATCTAAACCCAATATAGTAAAATGTTGAATTTTAAAAAGTTGAGTGCTAGATTACAATTTTAGTACTCTATATTACTGTCAACATAATTGTGTGCTTGAAATAGTTCAAATAAAAAGTACATAAAGGATCTCTATCTCAACAAAAGAACAAATTACTCAGTAGTAAATTCTGAAGACAGAGAGGTAAAGAGAAAAAAGAATAACAGAAATAGTAAAAATTCAGCTATTATACAGTAGATACAGTTCCAGTTGCTCTTACAACATGGACTTTCTTGGATGCCCTGATTATTTTAAAAATATGTCAACTAAGACCTTGGTTGACCTCAGAGATCCAGGAATAATGTCTAGTCTTCAAAGTAACAGCATATTGTTATGAAAATGCCTGAGACATCTAGGATATCAAGCTATTTGCTTAATATTCCAGAAGACTCTGAACAGCTGAGCTGGCCTTTTCTTGGATTGAATACTGTTTAAGGTTTATGTTTAAAATATAAAGTTTATTCTTCCTGGCTTACAAATCAAGTTTATAAACCAACTCATGCTCTTTATGTAACCAGAAGCATAAAGAGAAATATTTACATCATGTTAGAAGTCTTTACATAGTCTCATACATGGTTATTTTCTTAAAGAACGATTCTATATCAATTTAATTTTCACTTTTAATTCGCTATGAAAATTTTATGTGTAGACATAGGCCAAAATTTAGCCCAACATTTTGGACCTTTGCAAATTCTCAATTTTATTGGATTCTGCTAGTGAGGAGCTAGAATATTTAAACAAGTATTTTAGAAGTATAGGGTAGCATATTCTGATAGTATTAATTTAAAGTATAAAAACATAGATAAGGAGAAAATGAGACTAATTTACTAGATGAAAAGTTATTTAGAATCAGGAAAATGGTTGTCTAATGGGTGATATTTCTCTAAGCTTTTAATACATTAAAACAAATTACTGTTGTGCAATTATCTCCAATTATTGAATTGTGTTTAAATTCTAGCTCTTTCTTGCAAGTCATTTTTACCACTGAAAAACAAATAAACAAAAAACTTTGAATCTCCTGTGGTAATTTGTGTTGTTGTAATTAGTCTTTAAAGATATTTGGAAGTAGCCTTCGGTTTCAGTAGCTATGGCCAAAAGTAAGAGTGAGTATTACCACATTTTATTCATGTGTTGAAAATTACAGAAAGTTTGACAAGACAAGGGTCTGATTATTAGAAAGTTGCTTGTTCAGACTATGTAGCAATTTAATCCTGTAGGCAGGGGGAGACATTTTGGTATTTTTAAGCAGAGAAGTGGCATAGTGAGATTTCAGCATTTTCACATGTGAAAAATAAGCATAGAATTAAAAATGACTCCTTGATGTTCCCGGTGTGCAACTGGGTGGATGTTAGTGCCATTTAAAAATAAGAGGAAGTACAGTGGGGGAAACAGGATGGGATTGGGAGAACATGGTTTCAGCATTGAACTCTATGAGTCTGAGATGTTTTGAGGTGTATCTGGTAGGCAGTTTTATACATGGGTTTGGTGTTCAGACAAAATGAAAGTTGGGGTTACTTTGTGGTTTCTGGCCTAGAGATGACAGAAGCAATGTAGTAGGGAATGCAGTGAACATAAACAGAAAGGGATGGTCAACTTGGTGCTAAAATTAGTGTATATCTTGATGTAAGTCAACATTAATTTCTCTCTATCCCAATGAGATGTCTCTAAGGTATTTAAGAGCTTAAAGTTGATGAATTTCCATTTATCAGAAACTAAATTTATTAAGGACTAAATCTTTATTCTTAATATCTACTGCAATCTGTATCAACTAAAAAGTTAAAACTTTTACAAAACAACAAGTTTTCCTTAAATTATGATTTGTTATTATAAAAACTAGTAAGAAAAAATTCCACCACATGAAAGCATTTTCTAAAATTCATACCCCCGTACCTATTTTTAAATACAGTTGGTAAATTGATTAAGCTCTATTTTCATTTTGAATGTTCATCGGTTTTATTTTATTTTTTTTAAAAAAGACATTTATTCAGTGTCACAATCAGACTATTACATTTAATAATCAACAGCATGGGTGCAAAAAAAAAACTACATTAAAACCCTTTGTTGGAATGCTTTACACTTTCCGCAGAATAGAAATTAAAATAACCTGTTATACAGCTAGTCACAAATACAGTCCTCGAGTTTTTTGCCCATACACATGAGTATGTGTCTAAAACACGTCTTCTTTGTAGCAGCTAGGCCCTGCCACCACTGTGCTTGGCTGAGTTCACAAATCTCTTGTAACCTGTAGCTTCCCTGTCACTTCTCTGGCTCTCCTCTCCTGCTAAGCTTTGTTTCCTAATTAAAATCTTCTGCCACTGCCATAGCTACTGCTGCTGCTGGAACTGCCATAGCCACCTTGGTTTTGCAAAGTATTGCCTCCACCGCCATAGGGGCCAGAGCTTCTGCCTCCAAAATTTCCTCCCTTCATGGGTCTAAAATTTGAAGACTGATTGTTGTAATTGCCAAAATCATTGTAGCTTCCACCACCTCCAAAATTGCTTCCATCATTACCAAATCCATTATAGCCATCCCCACTGCCACCATATCCACCAGCACCACGGCTGCCACCAAAGCCACCACGACCACTGAAGTTTCCTCCATGACCAAAGTTGTCATTCCCACTGAAACCACCTCCACGACCACCACTAAAGTTTCCAGAACCACTTTGACCTCTTTGGCTGGATGAAGTACTCGCCATCTCTTGCTTTGACAGGGCTTTCCTAACTTCACAGATGTGGCCATTCACAGTATGGTATTTCTGAATGACAATCTTATCCACAGAGTCATGGTCGTCAAAGGTTACAAAGGCAAAGCCCCTTTTCTTGCCACTGCCTCGGTCAGTCATGATTTCAATCACTTCAATTTTTCCATACTGTTCAAAATAATCTCTTAGGTGATGTTCTTTGGTGTCTTCTTTAATGCCACCAACAAATATCTTTTTCACAGTTAAGTGGGCACCTGGTCTTTGAGAATCTTCTCTTGAAACAGCTCTCTTTGATTCCACAACTCTTCCATCCACCTTGTGTGGCCTTGCATTCATAGCTGCATCCACCTCCTCCACAGTGGCATATGTGACAAACCCAAAGCCCCTGGAGCACTTGGTGTTTGGATCTCTCATTACCACACAGTCCATGAGCGTTCCCCATTGCTCAAAATGGCTCCTCAGACTCTCATTGGTTGTTTCAAAGCTCAACCCTCCAATGAAGAGCTTCCTCAGCTGTTTGGGCTCTTTAGGAGACTCTGACTTAGACATGACGGCAGGGAGAAGAGAGACTTTAACGATGCTTCTTCGGCGGCGTCCACGGGCAGAAAGGTGTTCATCTGTTTTAAAGAAAACAATTACAAACTGATGTGTTTTTTTGTTGTTGTTGTTTTGTTTTGTTTTGTCAAATTGCTTTGACTTAGGTGGACTCAGTGCCATAAAATACACAGTTTCAATCTGATAGACAGGGGGCCCATAGAATTTGTAATAGATGGTTTCTTTAAGCACAGGGACTTTGAAGAGGTCTTTGAAGATGGCTTTAAAGATGTAAATTCATGGCACAGTAAAATAGTGACAGATTTCTCTGACAGCTTTTGGTTAAAAATATTTTAAATTATTTTTTTCATAGTATTTTTCTGTTTTATTTACATTAAAGAGCACAAAGTCTTAGATACAGTCTTCTTGAAAAAATTCTATTAGAACTTTAAATCTCAGTGCTAAATGAGACCAAACCAAAATTATAACAGTTTCTCATCCATTTTCTACCAGTATCTATTGTCTCAAAAATGTAGTTGAATTAGGCATATTGGATATATTTACATATTTGATCTGTTAACAGCAAAATATTAAGTTGGTGCAAATGTAATTGTGGTTTTGCCATTAAAAGTAATGGCAACAACCTCAATTACTTTTACACCAACTTAATAATAAAGTTAATTTCTGTCATTGACTTAAAGAGTAACAATAAAATGCATTATGTATTTTAAAAAATAAAACACTGATATATGAGAATTTTGATTTGAATTTGAAACCAAAATGATACATGTAACTTGATAAACAGAAAACAGCTCTTTTGGACCAGCTCCTCAGAAACAAACATTTCTAGTCATTAATAAAACTTGGAGCTCTTTGCTTTGTGATTACATAAAAACAACAAACAACAAATAACAAACAAAAATCATCTCTTTTGGTTATTTAATATTCATACAGCATCATTTTATATAAGTATACAAATAATTTAACAAAAATATAAAAATTAATATATTTCTGTATGTAGAGAGTTAACTGAGATTTATATGATATAGATGTATATCTATGCAATCTAAGAAGGAAAATCACACTGCCTAGACAATTCTTCTCTATTTTCCATTTACTCTAACCAAGGGAGTGAATAACATAGAGAAGTATTTTGTGGCATCTCTTGCCAAGATGGCAAATTAGATAAAGTTCTGATTTAACCCTAAAGAAATGCTAAAGACAATGTCAACAGGATGGTGTGAAGGGTGATAGGAACCAAAGGAAAATAAAAGTGTTCAATTCTTATTTTACAAGTGAGGAAACATAGATACTAATAAGTGTAAGAAATCATAACAGTGAATACATGTATGTCTTAAGGACAACCACTATAGAAATAAAATAATAATAATGTCATTTAAACTAATGGAAGAGAACTATTTTTATCCAGGAAAAAGCAGGAGAACAAAAGAAAGGAATGAGTGTGGATCATATGTATCAAATATGAAACAACGGAATGGAAATGTGACCTAATATGATATGTAGAACAAATGGAAAAAAAAAACATTAAATTTATGAATTAAAAGACAAAGAATTCAGATGGGCTTAAAAAATTCTAACAAGTTATGAATAAGAAATAAATATAAAGCAAAAAGATACAGAAATAATGAAGACAAATATATATTAAAAATACTGAGCAAAGAGTCCACAGGGATCATGGCAGACAGGAGGCAGGACTAGATTGAAGCTCCAACTGGGATGGGCAGAGCAGTGTGTGGAGGCTTGTATCATGAATTTTTGCTCCAGAATGAATGCAGATATAAATCAGCAAGTCTGAGAGGACTCACAGAGCCCCTGAAGGAAGTGGATTGTTCCTGCAGGACCTGGGAGACAACCCAAATACCATGAGTGCCCAAACTGTGGAAGTGGGAAAGGGGGATCATCCATCCTCGAACACACCCCTCCACTGAGGAAACTGAGGGCCTAGATTATGAGAGAAGATTTTGACCTTACTTGGAGCTGAGTCAATTTAGAGAACCGAGTGAAATACAGAGGTAGAGGAAGCAGCAGAAAAAGCCCTGGGAGCTTCCTGGGTTCCCTAGTAAGCTGTTTTTGTCTGACCTCACAGGGGTCCTTTGGGATGGCAGCCAGAGGCACTGCAAAAAGGCCACGGGGAGAAGGAAATCTCCAGCTGAGCTTTGTAACAGTTTGAATTGATCAAGAAGCCTCCTGGCCAGAACTCAGGGGAGGGAGTGAATTCAGTGTACAGACTCCACAGGCAGGGGAAGAAGGAAAGCCATATTTGGTTTTGCAGCTGGGATGTGGGTAGCCTGGGGCAAGTTCTCAGCACAGCTCGCCCACTGACTGGAAACAGACTGGGTGCTGTTGGGGGCGGGGCATGGTGGGAGTGAGACCGGACCTTCAGATTGCATGGGAGCTGGGTGAGGCCTGTGACTGCTGGCTTTCCCCCACTTTCCTGACAACCAGCATGACACAGTAGAAACAGTCATAATCCTCCTAGGAACATAACTCCATTGACCTGGGAACTTCACCCCCATATCCCACAGCAGCTGCAGCAAGACCTGCCCAAGGAGAATCTGAGCTCAGATATGCCTAGCCCTGCTCCCACCTGATGGTCCTTCCCTACCCACCCTGGTAACTGGAAACAAAGGGCATATACTCTTGGGAGTTCTAGGGCTCTGCCCACCACTGGTTCCTCTCCATCCTACCACAGCTGATGCTTTTGAGAAAGCTGCAGCTCCTGGCAGGGGGACAATCAGCACAAAAATAGTGCATTAAACCACCAAAGTTAAGAACCCTCATGGAGTCCATTTCACCCCCCTGCCACCTCCACCAGAACAGTTGCTGGTATCCATGGTAGAGAGACCCACAGACAGATCACATCACAGAACTCTATGCAGACAATCCCCAGTATCAGCACAGAGCCTGGTAGACTTGCTGGGTGGCTAGATCCAGAAGAGAGAATTTCTGCAGCTCAGTTCTCAGGAAGCCACATCCATAGGAAAAGGGGGAGAATACTACATCAAGGGGACACCCTGTGGGACGAAAGAATGTGAACAACAGCCTTCAGCTCTAGACCTCTCCTCTGACAGAGCCTACCCAAGTGAGAAGGAGCCAGAAACCAACTCTGGTACTATAATAAGGTTCTTTAACACCTCCAAAAAATCACACTAGTTCACCAGGAATGGACCCAAACCAAGAAAAAAATCCCTGATTTACCTAAAAAAGAATTCAGGAGGTTAGTTTTTAAGCTAATCAAGGAGGCACCAGAAAAAGGCAAAGCTCAATGTAACGAAATCCAAAAAAATGATACAATAAGTGAAGGGAGAAATATTCAAGGAAATAGACAGTATAAATAATAAACAATAAAAACTTCAGGAAACAATGGACACACTTATAGAAATGCAAAATTCTCTGGAAAGTCTCAGCAATAGAATAAGTACAAGAAAGAAATTCAGAGCTCAAAGACAAGGTCTTTGAATTAACCCAATCCAACAAAGACAAAGAAAAAAGAATAAGAAAATTGAAAGAAGCCTCCAAGAAGTCTTGGATTATGTTAAACGATCAAACCGAAGAATAATTGATGTTCCTGAGGAAGAAGAGAAATCTAAAAGTTAGGAAAACATATTTGAGAAAATAATCAAGGAAAACTTCCCTGGCCTTGCTGGAGACCTAGACATCCAAATACAAGAAACACAAAGAACACCTGGGAAATTAATTGCAAAAAGATCATTATCTAGGCACATTGTCATCAGGTTATCTAAAGTTAAGATGAAGGAAAGAATCTTAAGAGCTGTGAGACAAAAGCACCAGGTAACCTATAAAAAAACAAACAAACAAACAAACAAAAAAAAAACCTGTTAGATAAACAACTGATTTCTCAGTTGAAGCCCTACAAGCTAGAAAGGATTGGAGCCCTATCTTTAGCATCCTCAAACAAAACAATTAGCCAAGAATTTTGTATCTAGAGAAACTAAGCTTCATATATGAAGTATACAGTATTTTTCAGACAAACAAATGCTCAGAGAATTTGCCACTACCAAGCCACTACTACAAGAACTGCTAAAAGGAGCTCTACATCTTGAAACAAATCCTGGAAACACATCAAAACAGAAGCTTTTTAAAGCATAAATTTCCCAGGACCTAGAAAAAAAAACAATTTAAAAAACAAAAAACCAAGGTACACAGGCAATGAATAGCACAATAAATTAAATGGTACTTCACATCTCAATACTGACATTGAATGTAAATGGCCTAAATGCGACACTTAAAACATACAGAATAGCAGAATAGATAAGAATTCACCAACCATCTGCTGCCTTCAAGACACTCACCTAAAACATAAGGACTTGCACAAACTTAAGGTAAAGGGGTGGAAAAAGACTTTTCAGGCAAATGGACACCAAAAGTGAGCAGGAGTAGCTATTCTTATATCAGACAAAACAAACTTTAAAGCAATGGCAGTTAAAAAAGACAAAGAGGGACATTATATAATGATAAACGGCCTTGTCCAACAGGAAAGTATCACAATTCTAAACATATATGCACCTAACACTGGAGCTCCCAAATTTATATAACAATTACTAATAGACCTAAGAAATGAGATAGACAGCAACACAACAATAGTGGGGGACTTCAATACTTCACTTATAGCACTAGACAGGTCATCAAGACAGAAAGTCAACAAAGAAACAATCAATTTAAACTATACCTGGGAACAAATGGGCTTAACAAATATATACAGAACATTCCATCTAGCAACCACAGAATACACATTCTATTCAACAAAGCATGGAACTTTCTCCAAGATAGGACCATATGATAGGCCACAAAATGAGCCTCAATAAATATAAGAAAATTGAAAATATATCAAGCACTCAGACCACAGTGGAAAAAAACTGAAAATCAACTCCAAAAGGAACCTTCAAAACTACACAAATACACGGAAATTAAATAACCTGCTCCTGAATGATCATTGGACCAAAAATGAAGTCAAGATGGAAATTTAAAAAATTCATCAAACTGAACGACAATAGTGACACAACCTATCAAAACCTCTGGGACACAGCAAAGGTGGTGCTAAGAGGAAATTTCATAGCCCTAAACGCCTACATTAAAAAGTCTGAAACAGCACAGACTATCTAAGGTCAAACCTCAAGGAAGTAGAGCAACAAGAACAAGCCAAACCCAAACCCAGCAAAAGAAAGCAAATAACTAAGATCAGAACAGAACTAAATGAAATTGAAGCAGAGCACAGAGGATTTTTAGGCCAGTGAAATTATTCTTATGATACTGTAAGAGTGGCTCCATGCCATTATACATTTGTCCCAACCCATAGAATAGACAACACCAAGAGTAAACCCTAATGTAAACTATGGACTTTGGGTAATAATGATGTGTCAATGTAGGCTTATTGATTGTAATAAATGTACCATGGTGGTAGAGAACCTTGATAGTGGGAGAAGGCTATGCATGTGTGGGGATAGTAGAAAATCTTCGTACTTCCTACTAAATTTTGCTGCAAACCTAAAATGGCTTTAAATAATAAAGTATTATTTAAAGGAAAAAATGCAGAGCAAAAATGAGCAAAAAATAGTTAATATCTGACAAAATATGTTCTAGGTGAAGAAATATAAGCTGCTTAGTGATTATATTTAAAGACATTTTTATCTGTTAAGCCAAACATTAAAGGTTGAAATAATTTTTAGAATAAAAAAAAAGAAAGAGTAGAATATATACTTTTGAAATAATAGTTGCTGAAGCTAGCTGATGGACGCAGGGAACTTATTTTCTCCCTATTTCTATGTATTTTTGAAGGTTTGCGTAATAAGTTTGCAAATGTAAAGGGGCAAAAAATGGTATTAAAATCAGAGGAGAGTCATAATAGAAAGACAAAGTACATCCACTTTAAATGCATATGTATTGAATATCACAAAATCTAAGCAATAACTGGATGATTCATTTAGGAAAAACTAAATGAATCAATAACTTTAACTGGCTATTTTTAAAATTTATTTTAAGTTCTGCAAAACAGGTGCAGAACATGCAGGTTTGTTACATAGGTATACATGTGCGCTGGTGGTTTGCTGCACCCATCAACCCATCACCTACGCTTTAAGCCCCACGTGCATTAGGTATTTGTCCTAATTCTCTCCCTCCCCTCGCACCTCACCTCCCAACAGGCTCCGGTGTGTGATGTTCTCCTCCCTGTGTCCATGTGTTCTTATTGTTCAACTCCCATTTATGAGTGAGAACATGTGGTGTTTGGTTTTCTGTTCCTGTGTTAGTTTACTGAGAATGGTGTTTTCCAGCTTCATCCATGTCCCTGCAAAGGACATGAACTCATTATTTTTCATGGCTGCACAGTATTCCATGATGTATATGTGCTACATTTTCTTTATCCAGTCTAACATTGATGGGCATTTGGGTTGGTTCCAAGTCTTTGCTATTGTAATTAGTGCTGCAATAAACATATGTATGCATGTGTCTTTATGGTAGAATGATTTATAATCCTTTGGGTATATACCCAGTACTGAGATTGCTGGGTCCAATGGTATTCCTGATTCTAGATCCTTGAGGAATCACCACACTGTCTTCCACAATAGTTGAACTAATTTACACTCCCACCAATGGTGTAAAAGTGTTCCTATTTCTCCTAGTTGGCTATTTTAATACATTATTCCTGGGAGCTGATAGTACAAGTAGCAAAAGAATAAGTGAAGAATACAGTAACTATATATAATACTGTAACAACACATTCATAAGACAGATAATATGCATTTTGAAGCAAATATAAAAGACTCACAAAAATAGATCAAGTATTAGCCTATAAGAAGATTTTTTATTTTTTAGTTTAAGCTAAAAAGGGAATTTGTTATATGCGTAATAAGATACAAGACAAGGATGTGGCTGGACCCCAGAAATAACTAGAAGGAGAGATCTGAATTCCATTAATATTTTTTTAAATCTCTGCTCTTCTCTACTCCTCCTTCACTCTCATCACTAGACATAGCTTCTATTTCTTTTTTTAATTTTTTTAACTTTTATTTTAAGTTCAGGGGTACAAGTACAGTTTTGTTACATAGCTAAATTTGTGTCATGGGGGTTTGTCATACAGACTATTTCATCATCAGGTATTAAGCCCAATACCCATTAGTTATTTTTTTCTGATCCTCTCCCTCCTCCCACCCTCCACCCTCTGAAATGCCCTAGTGTTTGTTGTTCCCCTCTATGTGTCCATGTGTTCTCATCATTTGCCTCCCAATTATAAGTGAGAATCACTTGAACCTGAGAGGTGGAGGTTGCAGTGAGCCAAGATCATGCCACTGCACTCTAGCCTGGGCAACAGAGCAAGAGTCTGTCTCAAAAAAAAAAAAAATAGCCAACAGAAGCAAATATTGTAAAACTGTTTGGCAAAATCTGCAAAGGCTGAGCATGATATATCTTATAACTCATCAATACTACTCCTAGCACAGCCCCTACAGAAAGGCATACTTGCATTTTTAAAAATACACTGACAAGTATGTTCACAGCAGCACTATTAATCGTCAAAAGTTGGAAACATCCCAAATTTCTTTCTACTGCTGAATGAGTAATTAAATTATAGTACATTTATGCAAATGGAATTTCAGGCAGGAATGAGAATTAGTAAACTTTAACTGCATACAAATGGATCCATCTCAAAATATAAGGGTTGAAAAAAAAGTGAGGAACAAAAATAAACACTTTATGATTCCATTTATATAAAGAAATAATAGGCAAAAGTAATCTCTAGTCAACATAGTGGTTTCTCTCAGGGAAAGGGAAATAACAGGAAGAGAATAAGGGCTTCTGGGATTCTAAGAATGTTGTTTCACAATATGGAAGACAGATGCAGAAGTGAGTTTAATTTATGACAATTTTGAGTTTTGCATTACATATCAATTGATAAATACTTAATAGTTGAATAAAATATACATTAAAAATGACAGATAATAACTTGATTAAGTAAGGATTTATCCCAGAAAGCTAGTATAGTTAAATAACAAAAGAATCTATAACTCTGCGAACATATTAAAAGCCATTGAACTGTACAATTTAAACAAGTAAATTGTATAGTACATGAATTATATCCCAATAAAATTTTTTAAAAAAGAATTGATAAATGCAATTTACCAGTGACTACATAGAATTAAACCTAGCTATTATCCTAACTGGAAAAAAAAACTTTTGATAGAGATTAACGATAATTTTTTTACTTAATTTTTAAGCCAATTCTAAGTAGAAAAAAAACCTGTAAAGCGGCAAAGGTTATAAATCAAATATATAAAGCAAATATATGGACAAAATTTTGTTACATTCCTTTTAGATTCAGGAACAAAACAGGGATGCCCATTATCAACGTTACTGTTTAACATAGTACTGAGAGACCTGTTCAATATTAAAAGAAAGATAAGTAGGCAATAATTAAAAGGATTGGAAAAGAAGTGATAAATGCATCATTATTGATAGATTATATGTTTATCTTCTAATGGGGAAAATTAGTCAACAAAATCTATTAATATAAATACAAAATTAGCCTAAAAATCTATAGCATTTATTTAAAACAGAATTAGCAAATAAAATTATATACCAAATTAAAAATAAATTCTAATCACACCATAATATGGTTTGGCTCAGTGTCCCCACCCAAATCTCATCTCAATTGTAATCCCCACATGTCAAGGAAGGGACCTGGTGGGAGGTGACTGGATCATGGGGGGTGGTTTCCCTCATGCTGTTCTCATGATAGTGAGGGAGTTATCATGAGAGCTGATGGTTTTAAAAGTATTTGGCATTTCCCCCCTCTCCCTCTCTCTCTCTCCTGTCACCATGTAAGATGTGCCTTGCTTCCTCTTCACCTTCCACAATTATTGTAAATTTCCTGAGGCCTCCCAGCCATGTGGAACTGTGAGCCAATTAAACCTCTCTCCTTTATAAATTACCCAGTCTCCGGTAGCATCTTTATAGCAATGTGAGAATGGACTAAAACGCAAAAATAACAAAAATTATAAAACATCTTGGATTTAGCCAAGAATGCATACAGTTTCTATGGAGTAAACATTAGAACTTTAACTGGAATATGATCTGAACAAATGTAGAGATATCCTGTGCTAGGATGGAACAAGCTAATATTAATATTATAATAAAAGATTTTGTTTTTCCAAATCAGATGATAAATTGATGTAGAGATATCATATGCTAGGATGGAACAAGCTATTATTAATATTATAATAAAAGATTTTAAGTTTTCCAAATCAGAAGATAAATTGAGTGTAATTCCAATCAAAATTATTATAGAATATTTACACTGTGGTTTATTGGTTCACAAAGAACTAATCTATGAAAAGTAAGTGGAAAAGAACAGTATATTTTTACTTAATAATGAAATGATTGAAATATCCAAACTATTATCATTTTATACATTAACAATGTATGCCTATAAAGCCGAAACACTCATGTTCACAAATATATTCGTTAAACTTCAAAATATACAAAT
The DNA here is from genome assembly GCF_000001405.40 of Homo sapiens. Lineage (NCBI taxonomy): Eukaryota > Metazoa > Chordata > Mammalia > Primates > Hominidae > Homo > Homo sapiens. Next base: position 84,974,053 of record NC_000007.14, on the reverse strand, counting down.
TTAACATAAATAAATGATAGCTTAAGGAGAGAGAGGAAATTAAAAGTGGAATACCTGCCATAAGACCCCAGGAATTGGGCAGCATGCTCTGCCCCTCTTCTCAGTACCTGAAACTCAAGCACACTTCTAGGGCTTGTGCATTTCTGTTTCTTGAGTCTAGTAATCCACGATGTTATTAAAGAAAACCCAGACCTGGAAAATGGTTAAAGCAGTAAAAATAGATTTTATTAAGGAATTATTGCAATAGGAGAAAAGAGACCTTAGTATAGAGCTGGGCTCAATTCTGAATATGACATGGACAAGTGGAGTTTTGTAGCCAAGGAGCTACATGGGAGGCCAGTGGATGGAAAATTACTAAGGAAATATCAGGGTAAGTGGCAGGTTCTGGTTAAACTGCCTTGACAGTATTCCTGCTGAAGGCAGGCCAGGTGATCAGATATTACCTGGGGGATGCTGGGAATGAGGAATTTGATTAGATATCTAGGGGGATAAAATATCAAGGGTGAGTGATCCTAGGTACATTGACTAGATAGGATTATTGCTAAAACTCGGCAATGCAGGCCCAACAAGGATAGACACTAAAGCCCAAGGTAAAAGCCTAGTTGAGAGGAGAGATTAGAAAGCTTGATTAAAGTTTGATCAAGGAGAGTCTTCCTCAGTGTGGCACTCCCAGGCCCAAAAAGGAAGTCAGTGATGGAGGATGGAATACAGAGTTGTAGCCTGAGGTATTCACATGCATTTGCTTGAGGCTGGTTGTGGTTCAGGGAGCAGAGAGAAGTAAGTTATGAACCTGAAGCTTGAGGTCTCCATTTATACTCTTGCCCCAGCCCAACAAACATAGCGGGCTAGGCTAAGAGAGTGGATTTGCACAAACCAATGATAATAATGTGTGATGAACTGTGGGCTATATTCAACTCAAGACTCTGTAACTGAGGTTTTAAAGGGAGAGAAATAGCAATGCAGTTTGTGCAGATCCACAGGAGAGAGGACCGCTACTGAGCTACTTGTTCACGGGGGCATCTGCTCCCTTGTGGACACAGAACTCACCACAGATGCTACTGCACAAAGAGGGATCTTTCCAGTGAGGGTACCCATAGTCCAGAATTCCTAAGTAACTACTTAGACCACTATATTTTCCATTGGAATGTTATTTTCATTTTAGTTAATTTTTGAGTGAAATAGTCTCACATGGACTGTTCCAGGATACTTACTGGCAACAATCTCAAATATAGCTTCTTGGAAAACAATGTGTTATGACTTTCAAACCTGGGAACATAATAAAAATTAAAGAAATTATTAATATCCACCAATTATTGAATGCATACTATGTGCCAGCTACTTTGCAGATATAATCTCATTTAGTATTCAAAACCACCCTTAGACATAGGAATTATTAGCCCCATTTTTCAGAAGCAGCAGCTAAGACTGGCAGAGAGTAAATGTGTGGCTTAACACTATTACAGCTATCACAAAGCTGGTAAATAACAGAACGAAAATATACATCTGGGCTGTCTGATCTAAATTCCAAGTTGTTAACAATAATAATACTGTCTTTTGGCCCATTAGTAAATTGGAAATGTCAGTAATAAGTATTCTTACTACTGCTAAATGGATATTTAATTTTGTTTTTGTTAATAGGTTATAATTATAGAAGCTAGTATTTATGTAATGTAAAATATTAATTCATTAATAATCTAATAAAGTAAATACAATTTTAATTTATATTTATTAATGAAAAAACTTAGAATTCCAAATTAGATTAATTATCCAAGGATATTTTATTTTACACATACTAATATAAAACATAGTTTGTGTCAGTTCTAAGTGTGTTAAGAATATTAGCAAATTTAATTCCTACAACCTCTTTGAAATCAGTACCATTTTGATCTAGATTTCACAGACGAGGAAAATGAGGCACAGAGAGGTTAAATATCTTGTCTGAGGCCACATGGGAACAAAGATAGGACTTGAACCCAAATTGGGTTATTCTGACATTTATTCTCTATTGGTTTAGGCTGCAAATTGACAAAGCAAGCCCTGACTTTCAAGTCCAACCCTTAAACTCTGTTATAAGAATATCTATGTTATTTCACCACAGTCAAGAAATTGTTAATAGTACTCTACTTAGTTTTTCGTTCTCATTTGTGAAGTCAAAGCCCTTTTATTTCCATAAACATTTAGTTACTTTTCTGTTTTAACATTAGCCTTTCAGCTAAGACCAATTGCTGTTTTTGGAATGAGTATCAAATAAATATCAAATAAAGGCTCTTTGCTAAGTTTGAGGAGGGTCTGTTTGTCAAATATTGTTCTGCTGCCTAGAAGTGAAGAGTGATAGTGTCTAGAAGCTAAGTAAATTATGACTGCCTTCTAAGAGGCATATTAGACAGAACCACCTCTCCTGGAGGTTTAGAGGACTAAATTACACTTTCCATTTTGGCATAGATCACTTTCTCCCCAGGAAGCCAAGTTTGTAATCAGGACATATGTTAGGTAACACTATTAGCGGGAGCAGGCTGTACTTTTTTCCAGAACAGCATTTGTATAGTCTGAACTGACCAAAGTGCAGGACTGATTATATTCTATTGATTACACACCAAAGAGTGAATTCTAGAAGAGAATCACAGGCAATTAATACAATGTGTATTTAGAAAAACAATGAACTAGAGAGAACATCTTGTTCTAAGACTGACCTACAAGGAACAAAAATTGAAAAAGACATGATATGAGATGGTTATTAATGTTATAAATAATATTTTATGCTTTATTCCAAATGATCTCCTGTCCATTTTTCTTAAAATTTGACAATGACTTGTGTGAACAAACCGTGGATTAATACATACTGCACAATTATCCAATATTACAAGAAAGACTGAAGCTTCCCAGAGAGGCTTGTCAAACTGTATCTTTACTTCCCTCTTAGACCTTTTTGTGGAAAGTTCTCACATCACTGTTGAAGTGGAGATATCCCTAAAGCAACAGGATCAGAAATATTTCCATTAGAATAATAATCTTTTTAGAAGCAGAATCTAAACTCTTCAGATTCTGTGTGTGTATGTGTGTTCATAGGCAATCTTTACTCATCATTCTGACTTTTTCTGCTTTGAAGATATGGGAAGAAAGAATTGAATCTGGCCAGGGAAAAGAAAGCAAAAAGTGTATGGGAAATCCCATGCTTTTCTATGAGAATCTTGATATGCTAAGAGGTTGGCAGAGGTTTATCTCTACCTCTTCCTGGCATAACTTTCCACAAGATTTCAATAGTTCCTTCCAGCTTAGTCAAATTATACAATATATTTCCTGGCCATGTCTCCACAAATTAGCAAGTCACAAATGTTCAACAACTTACTTACATATGCCATCTTAGTTTATTCAGGCTGCTATAACAAAATACTATAGAATGGATGGCTTATAAATAAAATAAATTTATTTTTCACAATTCTGGAGGCTAAAAAGTCCAAAATCAAGGTGCCAGCAGATTTGTTTCTGGTGAGGGCCTGCCTCCTGGCTCATACACAGCTATCTTCTCACTATAAACTAACATGGCAAAGGGCAAGGGAATTTTTCAAGGCCTCTTGTATAAAGACACTAATCCCATTTATGAGGGCTGCTCCCTCATAACCCACCCCCAAAAGCTCCACCTCCAAATACCATCACATCAGATATTAGGTCTCAACATAGGAATTTTTGGGGGATGCAAATCTTCAGTTTATGGCCCATGCCCTTGCTAGGTAGACATGAATACCTGCACTGAATAGTGGGTATCAATTACATGTTTAATTGCACATTATGCCCATATATACACACATAACTTGTGTATATCTGATAAGAATATTAAAAGTAGAAGGGAAGACTAGTAAACACAGCAAGGGGATTGGGATAAGAAAGAAAAGAAAATTGAATTGGTAAAACAAATAGTAGTAGAGATTACAGCTAGAAAATGGACAGGGAATAAAACCTGGATAAGAAGCCAAATTAAAGACCAGAAAGAAGGCCAAATGGGAGGTTTGAATGATGATACTCAACTTCTGAGACTGACACATGCACAATATAAACATCAGAATCTGGTATTTTGGACAGTGATATGGGGAGAATTATATGAATTATTGTGGAGTTATGGTGCATAGAGATTTTAATCCAGAGAAAGAAATGGTTGTCAGCTTGAAGAACCCTAGGGAAAACAGAGATGAAAGCCAACATGTAAGTCAAATGATGGTGTTTCTCACATCTACATGACAGGGGTTGGAGAACTGTGTTAAAGGCAAGAAAGGAAACAAAGATCAGGGCTTCAGCCATGTGGACAGATGGAGGCACTCATTCCTCTCTCCTTTGTTGCTGTTATACTGGACAGTTGTTTTTAATTCCTCAAAGAACTCGGTTGCAGCCTGAATGATATCAAAGGGTGGACCCACCCATCCAGTTATATTACCTTGAGTTTGCTTCTTTATATCAGGGAGAAGAGTTCCAACTAAGATGAAAATGTAAAGATTCCCGTGTTAGAGACTTAGAACTTTGTGCCTTTGAACTGTTTCAATAAATCATTCCACAAAGACTTTAGGATGTTTTCTTTCATTCTAAGTACACAATTATATTTTAGCTTAGGAGAAAAGGCCTTAAACATAGTTCATATTAGGCTCTGAAAATTTGCCCCGAATTAGGCCAACTTCTGACCATAGCGTACTGAAAAAATGCAGCCATGACAAACAGTAAATATTCCTGGCAGTATTTAGTTCACTCCTCACTCTTTCTTAAGCGAAAAGTATACCTATTCTAATTGTGACCCAACACCAAACCAATCAGTCACTTTGTAGCTTAGCTAAGAGGTGTCTCCAAAGAGTATTCAAAAGATGCAGCCTTTCTGATCCAGATTCACTCCCAAAGATAGACTCAAAGACTTCGATCAACCTTCTGAGCTGGTAACAACTGGTAGGATATCAGCCACAAAGGAGGTGCATCTCACATTTCTGCCCCTCCATCTACATATTCTCAGGATCTGCAACCAGACATTTGACTGCCTTAAGGTGTAGGCCCGACAGCATGTACAACCTTGCAAAAAGTCAAGCCAGGTACTCATGACACAAACTGAGAAACTTGGGATAGAAATAGCTGTCCCAGGGAAAGAAAGGATCAATAACCAACAAATACTGGGAACAAATTCACAGGAGTCACAATCCAAAGAACAAATTTTAGCAAATTATTTTTTCTTCAGTTAATCTAAATTTGAAAAAAAAAAAAAAAAGACAGAGGCTTTTTCCCACTCTTACTTGATTGAAACCTGCAGACAGAAATCTGGGACGCTGACTTTAATAAGAATTCATCTTGGGCTGGTGTTGTCAGAGGGTCCTAGATTTCTACTGCATCTGGAGCAAGCGAAGTGTCTCAGCTATCTCATTTTCATCATAAAAACTGTAGGAAAGGAAAAAATATTTTCCTCTACCCATCTTACATTCCCCAGCTGGGCTCTGTAAATTAGACTGGCCAAACACAGATTAAGGGTGTTTGGCCAGTCTAATTTACAAAGCCCCAGGCAAAAACAAATGGGACTTTATTCCTATGTGTATTTTGCTTACACATGGGAGTACCCAGAGAAGAGTAGCTCTTCACTGTTAGCCTGGGACTCTGGGTTTTGTTAAGATAAATAAAGTGAAACATCACTAGAAAATTTCCTAGCACTAAATTTTCTTTTTCTGCCAAATAACTCAATTTTCAGTCAAGATTCTGCTTGTCAGGTGTAGTTTAGTCATCTCAACAGCATGATATGAAGATGTACTATAAAATCCCCTTTGACCAAAGAACCTTCTCTCCTACTCATCTGTTATGCTGGTTGACAACATTGTTATTAGAAATGGGTATAGTTGTTTTTTAAGGATAAAGTATTTCATCTCTTTTTAAAAATACAAATATGCTTTATTTTTTATTTTTCAAAGAAAAGAAAATATCTAGTGCAAAGTTTTTCACTTTCTCCTTTATATATATTATACCTGCCCTTATTATCTCTAAACTGTGCCTTAGAATTTGAAGATAACTTTCTAATGGTGCTCTTCATCTCATCCACTTCAGCCTTCGCCAGAACTTACTGCTGCAATCATTTTTTTTTCTATTTTCAACATCACTTCTTCCTTGCCTATACTCTTTTGTTATATCCCTTCCAATCTCCTTTCTTTTACAGTAATGTTTTAAGATAAAGGTACTACAAATTGCATCTTTCCTTATATTTCTTAAACCATGAAAAACTTAAGTTTTGCTAAGATTACCAATGACCTAGGAGGTCTCAATTCCAACAGACACATTTTAGTTTTCTCTTTATTTATTGATGTACCACTTCTAGCACTGATGACTGACCTTCTTGAACTAATTTCACCTTCAAATTCTATGAAATGAGCTTTTCTTGGTTCTTTTTTGTTTTATCTTAAAAAAATAATATTTTTTGGCTGGGTGCGGTGACTAACACCTGTAATCCCAGCACTTTGGGAGGCCAAGGCAGGTGGATCACTTTAGGTCAGGATTTCGAGACCAGCCTGGCCAACAAGGAGAAACCCTGTCTCCACTAAAACTACAGAAATTAGCCGGGTGCGGTAGTGGGCACCTGTAATCCCAACTACTCAGGGGCCTAAGGCAGGAGACTCGCTTGAGCTTGGGAGGTGGAGGCCACAGTGAGCTGAGATCACACCACTGTACTCCAGCCTGGGTGACAGAGTGAAACTCTGTCTAAAAAAAAAAAAAATTGTTTAATTTGTCTAATACAAATTGTAAATATTTATAGTTTAAATGAGGTTTTGATATAGGTATACATTGTAAAATTGCTAAATCAAGCTATTTTCATAACTTCACATACCGATGATTTACCATTATGGTGGAAATGTTTAAAATCTATTCTCTTAGCAATTTCAAGTATACAATACATTGTTATTAACTATAGTCATCATGCTTTACAATAGGTCTCCTGAACATATCCCTCCTGTCTAACTCAAATTTTGTATCCTTGAACCAGCATCTCATCACCTCCCATGAACTCCAATCCCTGAGTAAACACCATTTTACTCTGATTCTATGAGTTTGACATTTTAGATTCCACATACAAGTGACATTACACAGTATTTTTTTTTGGCTTGGCTTATTTCACTTAGTATAATATTCTGTAGCTTCAACCATGTTATTGCAGATGAGAGGATTTCCTTGTTTTTTAAGGCTGAATGGTACAGGTACACAAAATGGAATACTATATATTACTATAGGCACTATATTATAGAACATGTACATATATACACATATACACATGATAGAATGCTATATTCTATAACTATAATCTATAATTATGTATGTGTATATATACATATATACATACATATATATATGTACTTTATTCATTCATCATTGATAGAGACCTAGGTTGATTCTATACATAAGCTATTCTGAATAATGCTACAAGAAACATGGGAATACAGATATCTACAGATATCTCTTTGACATACTGATTTTATTTTCTTTGGATATACCTAGAAGTAAAATTGCTGGATCACATGGTTGTATGGTTGTTCTATTTTCAACAATTTGAAGAACATCCATACCATTTTTCATAATGCCTATACTATTACATTTCCACCAACAGTATGTGAGGGTTCCCTTTTCTCTATATCCTACCTAACTCATTATCTTCCATCATTTTAATATTAGACATTCTAACATGTGAGAGGAGATATCTCATTGTAGTTTAGATTTGTACTTCCCTGATGATTAATGATTTTGGGCATTTCTTCATATATCAGTTCACTATTTATTTGTATGTTGTCTTTTGTGAAATGCCTATTCATGTCATTTGCACATTTTTAATGTGATTATTTGGGATTTTTTTGTTAATTGGTTGAGTTCCTTATATATTCTATTTATTAATCCCTCTTCAGATGCATAGTTTGCAAATATTTTCTTCCATTTTGTAGGTTGTCTCTTCACTCTGTTGATTATTTCCTTTGTTATGCAGAAGGTTTCAGTTTGATATAATTTCATTTGTCTATTTTTGCTTTTGTTGCCTGTACTTTTGGGGTCAGTCAATTTATTTTTGCAGTTTCAGATCTTATGTTTAAGACTTTAAGTTGATTTTTGCATATGGGGTGAGATAAGAGTTCAATTTCATTTTTCTGCATATGGACATCATGTTTTCCTAACACCATTTAACTGAGGAAACTGTCTTTCCCCATTGTGTGTTCTTGGAACCTTTGTTGAAGATCATCAGTCTTTTGGTTATTCCTGCTTCCCTGGTATTCTCTTTGAAGATTTTGTTTTGCAGCATCTTTTTATCTTATCTATTTATTATATTCTGACATACCCCAAAGAGGTTTCTAGGTTACCTGAAGCTATATTACTTTGGTTGAAATCTAGGCCCTACTATTTGACAGATATGTGACTTTGGAAAGTCATGTATTCTTTCTGTGGCCCACCTGTAAATTGGGAGTGACAACAATAATATAGTATGTACAATATAAGTATTAGGTATGACTGTTCTTTTGCACAGGCAATTTATTTCATGCCTTTAACTACATCGGCTATTTCTACTCTAAAGATTCCCAAATAAGTATCTTGTTCTGAATCTTCTCCTGAGCTCCAGACCCTTATGCTAAGATTTCTGTTATCTATTGTTTTCTGAATTTACCATTCACCACAAGTAATTTGACCAAATCTGAACACGAGATCTTATATTTCTTATTTTGGTGTATCGCAACATCCAAAACTTTTTCTCCTATTTGGCCTCAAACTTGACATCAACTATCATTAATTTACTTTGATTAACTCTTATTTATTAACTCAAAGAAGAACCTAATCATTATTTATGTCCTTCTTCTTAATATCTCAATTATTAGTGCCTTCATATAGGCACCTCCACTTTTCTCCTAATTATTACTACATTGTTATCACTTACTTTCCGATTTTCTTGACTCATCTCTTTCCTCTTCAATCCATCCTTCACAGAGATGCCAGCGAAGTTTTTTAAAGGGAAAATCTAATGACTCTGCTTGTTTTCTTTCAGAAGCCTCCAATATTTCTTTGTGATTTATAAACTTTAAACACTTCATGTCATGGTAAACCCTTCTGAGCTGGCTCCTTACTACCTTCCTGCCCCCCCCCCTTTTTTTTTTTTTAAGACAATGTCTTGCTATGTTGCCCAGGCTGGCCTTGAATTACTGGATTCAGGCAATTCTCCTGCCTTAACCTCCAACCTCAACTTATGGTATTCACCCTCTCACTCCATCCTTTACATTTAAACAATAAATGAAGGTTTCCTTCTTTGCCTCCACATATGCTGTTTCCCTCACCTCGACTGCCCCATATCTGTGTCTACACACACCATTAGGGTCTTGTGTTAAACACTACTTTTTGTGAATCCTGCCCTGAATCTTCCACCCATCAGTCTTGGGTTGTTTTTTACCTCCTCTTCTCCCAAAATATCTTTATTTGAATTATAATGAATCATTACTATTTATGTATTACATGTTTGAGAACTTGCTGACTTGCTATAATTTATTGGTAAACCCCAAATCAATGCTCACAACCCTTTTGAAGTTCTCCACAGGCATACGGATAAGCTTTGCTCAGGCATCAGTTGTGCTGTTGGCCATGAGTTCAATGTTAACAAATCAACAATATATTTAAATAATGTAGTTTAAAACAGAAGCTCATATAGAACAAAGTTATGTATTGATTGGTTGACAAAAATATTGTGACTAGAGACTCAGGGGAACCTAAACCTGTGTTTGCCCTAGAAGCACTGGTTCAGTACTCATTAATTCAGTGTTCACAGTGACTTTATAAAACATTACTACAGCCAGCAATAAGTATCAATTATATATTTGCTTTCATGTCTATGTGTATTTTTTTTATGGTTGTCACTCTCTCCTTTCATATTGCCTATCTTCAGGGCCTGAACAATCCTTAAAAAATAGTAGATAACAAATAAATATTTGTTGAATAAGTAACACGAAAATGAATATATGCCAGGATTAGGGTGTATGAGAACATTATTCATTGTAGTGTGAGTATAATCTCTCAAACAATAGAATAAAATAGGTGAGTTTCAATGAACAGCAAGAAAAAAAAGACTATCTGAGGCTAGAGCTTGGCAGAGTACATCTGTGTCCTAGGGTAAGTGAAGGAAGAGAAGTGGTGAGACAGGGTCAAGAGCCTCCAGGCAAGGGAAACTTTAAAAGAAGTTACCAAGAACACAGGGGTGCATGGGAGGATACAGAAATAATTCTTACCTTTCTTCAGATCTAGTGAAGGTTTCTATTGTCCCTTCCTTCTCTTCATTTTCTATATACCAATAAGCTGAAAAATCATCCCAGCATGCCCGAGGCTGTCCTAGATTTAGCATTAAAATCCCATTTTCTGGGAAACTCCTCAATCCTGGTAAACCAAGGCACTTGGTCACTCTGTTTATAAACTACTATATTGTAAGGCAAAACATACTTTGTAAATTACGACAGTGTGAATTTAGTGTTCATTCATTGTTCACGCAAACAATAACTGCCAAACTGCTATTATTTCACAAGCACTCTCTAGTTTTTGAGGACACAAAGTTGATTTTGATATTACCCTTTTCCTTAAGGATCCCTGCATAACACCTCAAAATAATTTACACTTTAAAGTGTTTTTTATAAATATGTATGAACTCAGGGCAGAAAATCATAACAATGGATACTTCGAATACAGATTCTTCCTAGGGCTGAATAACCAGACTGATTTAAGAGCTAGGGAATGTGTAAAGGTTGGAGGCATTTTTAACCTGTACTTAGATGGAACAGAAAAAAAAAAATCTGGAAGAAAGATCTTGACAATACAGAGGAGAAACATTTGTAGACTAACACACTTGGGAAAAGTTGGAAGAAATAAGCTTCTCTTCCCTCATATGGCATATTATCAGGTTTCCCAAGGACTCAGAAACCCATGCCTCTGAATCCCAAGAAAGAAAAATAAATAGATTTATTTCATGTAAAAGCTAGTTCTCCACTGGATTTTGATAAACTTTCTTCTTTATTAGAATAAGAAAGTTTGTGACATTTAAATCAAAGATCTTTTAAAATAATAAACATTAATAATATATTCACTTAGTGTGGTAACTCAATTATTGTCTAAGACAGTTAATTAATCCAAATTTTATCTTGGTTTAAAAATAATAGTTCTTAGTAATGGCAATAATCAGATTTTAGGTATATTTTATTTCCTAAGTTCTCTCCAGTTTGGTAAAATTATAGTTGCTTTTCAATTTAGCACATAGTTAAAAAGACCTTCAAGGGAAAATTCCAAAAGACCTCTGTATAACATTGCTGTTTTTTCCCTGACTCAATCTTTTACAGTCACTATTCCACCCAAGTTTTGTTTACTGAGTGAGCTAAGTGCTTCCATGATACTTTTACCGCTGACACTTTCCTCCAAGAAACTAATGTATTTCATATATTATTGAAATGTTTAACTTGATTAATAGCAAAACTGATTATTTATAAAAGGGACTTCAAGCCATGGTTTATTCTAAGTATGCAGTAGATACATAAACATTAGATTCAGATTTAATTTACAGCTGTGGCAATGAAGAGAAACATATTTTAGGCCAATATGAGCTACTTGACAATATTTTACTGGCTATAATGAAAGATTTAAACAAAATTATCCAATTTGCATTGGTTTTTATCAGTCTTACACTCTATTTTATATTAAAAATAGATATATTTGGCAACATAGTCAAATATGGACATAATTAAAACATAGCACTTTGGGAGTTTTGAATTATTTACTTGACTGTAAATTCACTAAATAATAAAACAACTCTTCAATACATTCTAAAGGAATAAATAATATAATTTTATACAGATAAGTATGTAAAACAACGATCTTCTGGTAGTGATATGCCTACAAGTTGCAAGTGTGTGGTGTAGTGGAAAAATTAGCCTGGAAATCAGGAAGCTGGGTACTATTCTGGGAACTGACAATAACAGATTATGGACACATCACTTAGCTTATCTCTGTCAGATTTCATTAAAGAAAATGAGAAAGTTTGGACAGATGTGAGTTTTCTAAATAGTGCTTCTTAAAATGTGTTTCTAGAAAATTTTAACAGATATGAATCATAAAATGGGTTGTCTGATAAGACTAGTTTGGGCAATTCTCTATTTTCTATCCTGTCTTGAAAATTCACAGAGCATATTTATAAAGAGTCTAAATAAATTAAAGCTGCAATTTACCTTTTTTAAGGACTATGTACTTAACAAAATGGAACTCATTTTTACAGTATTTTCTAAGCTAGATACATTTATAAGCTAGATGACTTCCAAAGTTTCTCTCATTTTGAAAATCTATAAATATATTTCTGAAAGCACCTAAATAACATGCCAATTAAAAAGAAATTCATCCTAGGGCTGGGCGTGGTGACTCACACCTGTAATTCCAGCATTTGGGAGGCCAATGCAGGAGGACTGTTTGAGCCCAGGAGTTCGAGACCAGTCTGGGAAACATAGTTTTTTGAGACCTTGTCTCAAAAAAAGAAAGGAAGAAAGAGAGAGAGAGAGAGAGAAAGAAATTCATCCTTATCAATCTCATTCAAATTAGTGAGCAATGGCAAAAATAAAAACAATTTTAAGGTATTTTTCCTTTATCAGGCATTGATGGTTGCAGTACTTTTTACTTATAAATTATGTTTTTCTGAACATAATAGTAAAATGCACACATTCCTTTACTACATATTCATTGGTTTCAAGAGTCAGTGTTAGGATTTTCTGGATGGTAAAAGGAAGTCAATTTGAGGTTTAACATTAGACTAACTCCTGTTCACAAAATTCTTCCTTAAGAACAGGTCAGCAGGTTTGTAAACTGGCTATCTGGTCATTCCTTTGATAGATATGTTTATGTTTGAAGTGTTGGGTTATGCAGCAGGAAGACACTTGAAACTTTCCTTACCAAAGGGTACGAATGGGGCATACAGTTTATCTCACTCTGAAAATTTTGGATTAATGAAATTTTGCAGAGATTATAACGATTCACATATAAAAACTTTTAACTGCTCATCATAGGCAATATACCTTTTCTGTTTCAATCTTTAGAAATCACATACATTTCTCTAGATAAGAGAGTGAAATAATTATCTTTCAAACCAATTACTTTTTCCTCACACCAGTTGCCATGGAAATTATCAGGTGAATATAAAAATAAGGAAAAGCTATATTAGATATAAAAACTAAAGAAGTCTGCTACTGAAGACCTTCCAGAACTTTTAGAGCTTTTGCTGTATGTAGCCAGAAGGGATGAATTTAAGGTACAGTATGGAAGAAACACTTGGGATTTCCCCCATATTATTGCAGTTTGTAGGTAATTCTGACAAGAGCCCACTAATCTCCCTAATACAAGATGGAAATCACAAAGGGGAATCTAAAGTGGGTGGATCATCAATCCAAAACACAGATACTTGGGGGCTATCCTTGAATTGTATGGCCAATCTAGGTAGAATGCACAAGGCTCCTTTATGCCATTAGATGGTTTCACAGGAGCAAAATTCTGTACTGTCACTTCTTTGACCTATATACTCTCTTTACTCTCCAGCAAAGATCTTTGATATTTGCAAAGTTCAAATTCACATTAGCTCTATTTTTCCTCTCTATTTTTGCAGCCTGAAGATTTCAGGAAAGGCCTCACCCTGGTATCTGACAGGATCCGTTCTATTTTCCACTTAACTATGCATCAGCACTCTCCACTAGAAAAGACCTGGAGAGAAGTGAGACCAAATAGAGAAAAGCAAGCATATTATAAAAAGTTTATGCATTGAAAAAGATTAATACCTGGCAGTTGAGACCTAGTAGTTAGGTCTAATATTTTCAACTAAATATAAACAACCCTTGAAGAATATAAACAAAAACCAGACTTGGCCACCCGGGGACTATGGTGGACAAGACAGGTAAAACTGCTCCACAACTATGCCTAAAACAAGACAGAGACAGAAATACTCTGCATACAAAAATAACAGTTCTTCTTTTTAGTAACATGAGGGACTACTACTTTGTCAATGACAGCTCTAGCTTGGCTTTAATCTTCTCCCCTCCTAGATAAAAAATAACTAAGACACATAGCCACTGAACTGCCCCTGCTTCCTGACAGCACTCAATTCAAATTGAGCCTTCACTTTCTTAATCCCTTCTTAGAATCACGCAGTCCAAGCCAAGTATTGTAATAAGCAAGCACCTCTTAAAAACGTCTTCTCTAGATACCTCACATGTCTACAGCAAGGGAAATAAACATTACAGGTGTGTTCCTGGACGTCATAACTGGTGAGCTTCAACACTATCTTGAACTATTAGATGACGTGATTTGGTATGAATTTGTTTGATAGAAAACAAACTAAAACAAAAACAACAACACAGAAAGATGACAGGGAAGAGACATTTTAGGTTTCTTTTTCCTTTTTTAGGTAGATTTAAGAGAATATGAAACTCTTAAACTTGAGTAAACAATTAGGTGAAGAAGGGAATATTTGAGCCTAAGAAAGAATTCATGAAGACAGAAGCATAACTGATAAATTTAAAAGAATAAGGTCATCAATGACCACTAGATTGGAGACTGCATAAAATTAGTTCAATAAAAGAAAGGATAATAGAATACTGAATAGACATACTATACATGGGTACCCAGTAGAGGAGTGAGCAGGAGCTAAATCCAGGTCACATACCTCTTGCCAGGTCTCAGATATTGCCAAGTAGGGGCTGCATTTAATCAGAGGAAGGACAGCATATTTACCCCACAAAAGTGCCAGCAATCCAGCAGGTACAAAGGTCAGGATAGGCTAATATCAGACCTGAAGAAGAGTCTATTTAAAATGAAGTTTTCATAGATTAGATTAGTGCTTCCCATGCATTGGGCCACAACACAGGCAGGTTCTCAGGAACTCGATTGCTTGTCATTTGGCCATCCCAGTAAGGCCTTACAAGGCTGGAAACCCAGAAGTCAATACTCTCCAGTTGCAAGAAACTGCATCAGTTTATCCCAGTTTACCCCAGTTTTGAAGCATTGGCCAAGAACAACTTACATGTTTCGTCACTCAGTTCTGATCATGTTTCCATAGTGTGCCTAGTTCTGGAGAAGAGCTGAACAAAAAAGCTAAGCGCCTTGCATGAATCCTACATTTCTCTACCTTTAAGCACCTTTTCCAACATCCTCCTAATTTTATTTTCTCTCTCACTACCATACTGTCCTAAAGAACTCCTAATATCTTAATCTATAGGAACACCAAGTTTCAGATGTCTTAATTATTAGTTTGAGACGTAATAATGATAATCTCAGCGTCAGTGCCTCTGTGACTGAATACATGTTGTGAGCAGGCATGTTGGATGAGATGAAAACTGAATTCTACAAAGGCAAAGGTCATGGATGTGTGTCTCATAAGTGCAGTTCAGGTCAATTTTATTTGAATATTGAGAATCTCTTAGAAGTTTCATAGTGCTCAGTCCACTTGGTCAAGTTCCTGGTCAAGTCAATTTTCCTACTAGGGCCACTGAAGAAGTTGACCCCAGATTAAGCACTTTTAATAACTATTCTTTGTCTTTTCTCTTATTTTGTAGATCCTGGCATGAGACCCAGCATTTTCAGACTTTTTCATTTGCAAATATAACAATTTCCACTCTCAATTTTTACTTTAGATTATTTCCTTCACTTCTTATAATGTCTAAATAGGATTAAATTATTTTCTTTTTGAATTTCAAGTTTAATTTTTTGCTAACAGTGATTGAAAAATTAAAGCAATGTAAAACAGAACAAAACAAAAAAGCAATAGTGAATTCAAAGCTACCTCCCTGACAATCACCATTATCCTATTTCTTGTTTCTCTTCAGAAATTCTGTATTCCAGATAATTTATCATCCTAGCCCCTGATATAGGCCCTACTCTCTACATTAAAGACTTTTGAGTACTCTTATCCTCTCTTTCTCCCTCCTCTTAGATAGTTTATTAGGTATTGACCTTAGATTCTGTTTAGCAGCCATCATCCCGGATTCTTAAAAGGCATCCATTCCCTGAATCTAAATTAAGACATATGGAACAACAACAGCGTAAAATGTCTACAATTGTGGCAGGGAGCTAGTTTCAGTTCATAGCAGCAAACAACAGAAACACTGTGAACAACTTAAGCAAAAAGGGGAGGAATGAATAATAAGGACATTGGAGACCTCATAGAATTGATAGAACTTAGTAAATTGCTGGAAGTAGAAAACTGCGTATCCTCCGTTTAAGTTTTCATAGTTTGATGTGAAGCTCCAGTGTGCCCTATTTTGGGAATTGGAAGGGATATTCAGATGTTTTCAGCAAATCCAAGTTATAAATCCATTATTAAAATGCTGCTTTCTCCTTTCTATTCCAATCTCTTTGTTCTAACTCCGTTTGAAAGGCTGCTACGCTTTTTTTTTATCATTTCTTTATTTTTATCTTTTTAATTATACTTTAAGTTCTAGGGTACATGTGCATAACGTGCAGGTTTGTTACATATGTATACATGTGCCATGTTGGTGTGCTGCACCCGTTAACTTGTCATTTACATTAGGTATATCTCCTAATGCTATCCCTCCCCGCTTCCCTCTCCCCATGACAGGCTCCAGTGTGTGATGCTCCCCACCCTGTGTCCAAGTATTCTCATTGTTCAATTCCCACCTATGAGTGAGAACATGCGGTGTTTAGTTTTTTGTCCTTGCGATAGTTTGCTGAGAATGATGGTTTCCAGCTTCATCCATGTCCTTACAAAGGACATGAACTCATCCTTTTTTATGGCTGCATAGTATTCCATGGTGTATATGTGCCACGTTTTCTTAATCCAGTCTATCATTGTTGCACATTTGGATTGGTCCCAAGTCTTTGCTATTGTAAATAGTGCTGCAAAAAACATATGTGTGCATGTGTCTTTATAGCAGCATGATTTATAATCCTTTGGGTATATAGCCAGTAATGGGATGGCTTGGTCAAATGGTATTTCTAGTTCTAGATCCCTGAGGAATCGCCACACTGTCTTCCACTATGGTTGAACTAGTTTACAGTCCCACCAACAGTGTAAAAGTGTTCCTGTTTCTCCACATCCTCTCCAGCACCTGTTTTTTCCTGACTTTTTAATGATTGCCATTCTAACTGGTGTGAGATGGTATCTCATTGTGGTTTTGATTTGCATTTCTCTGATGGCCAGCGATGATGAGCATTTTTTCGTGTGTCTGTTGGCTGCATAAATGTCTTCTTTTGAGAAGTGTCTGTTCATATCCTTTGCCCACTTTTTGATGGGGTTATTTGATTTTTTTCTTGTAAATTTGTTTACGTTCTTTGTAGATTCTTGATATTAGCCCTTTGTCAGATGAGTAGATTGTAAAAATTTTCTCCCATTCTGTGTGTTGCCTGGTCATTCTGATGATAGTTTGTTTTGCTATGCAGAAGCTCTTTTGTTTAATTAGATCCCATTTGTCAATTTTGGCTTTTGTTGCCATTACTTTTGGTGTTTTAGTCATGAAGTTCTTGCCCATGCCTATGTCCTGAATGGTATTGCCTAGGTTTTCTTCTAGGGTTTTCATAGTTTTAGATCTAACATTTAAGCCTTTAATCCATCTTGAATTAATTTTTGTGTAAGTTGTAAGGAAGGGATCTAGTTTCAGCTTTCTACATATGGCTAGCCAGTTTTCCCAGCACCATTTGTTGAATAGAGAATCCATTCCCCATTTCTTGTTTTTGTCAGGTTTGTCAAAGATCAGATGGTTGCAGATGTGTGGTATTATTTCTGAGGCCTCTGTTCTGATCCACTGGTCTATATCTCTGTTTTGGTACCAGTACCATGCTGTTTTGGTTACTTTAGCCTTGTAGTATAGTTTGAAGTCAGGTAGTGTGATGCCTCCAGCTTTGTTCTTTTGGCTTAGGATTGTCTTGGCAATGTGGGCTCTTTTTTTGGTTCCATATGAACTTTAAAGTAGTTTTTTCCAATTCTGTGAAGAAAGCCATTAGTAGCTTGATGGGGATGGCATTGAATCTATAAATTACCTTGGGCAGTATGGCCATTTTCACAATATTGATTCTTCCTACCCATGAGCATGGAATGTTCTTCCATTTGTTTGTGTCTTCTTTTATTTCATTGAGCAGTGGTTTGTAGTTCTCCTTGAAGAGGTCCTTTACATCCCTTGTAAGTTGAATTCCTAGGTATACTATTCTCTTTGAAGCAATTGTGAATGGGAGTTCATTCATGATTTGTCTCTGTTTGTCTATTATTTGTGTATAGGAATGCTTGTGATTTTTGCACATTGATTTTGTATCCTGAGACTTTGCTGAAGTTGCTTATCAGCTTAAGGAGATTTTGGGCTGAGACGATGGGGTTTTCTAAATATACAATTATGTCATCTGCAAACAGGGACAATTTGACTTCCTCTTTTTCTAATTGAATACCCTTTATTTCTTTCTCCTGCCTGATTGCCCTGACCAGAACTTCCAACTCTATTTTGAATAGGAGTGGTGAGAAAGGATGTCCCTGTCTTGTGCCAGTTTTCAGAGGGAATGCTTCCAGTTTTTGCCCATTGAGTATGATATTGGCTGTGGGTTTCTCATAAATAGCTCTTATTATTTTGAGATACGTTCCACCAATACCTAGTTTATTGAGAGTTTCTAGCATGAAGGACTGTTGAATTTTGTCAAAGGTCTTTTCTGTATCTACTGAGATAATCATATGGTTTTTGTCTTTGGTTCTGTTTATATGATGGGTTGTGTTTATTGATTTGCATATGTTGAACCAGCCTTGCATCCAAGGGATGAAGCCAACTTGATTGTGGTGGATAAGCTGTTTGATGTGCTGCTGGATTGTCTCTCAGACCACAGTGTAATCAAACTAGAACTCAGGATTAGGAAACTCACTCAAAACCACTCAACTACATGGAAATTGAACAACCTGCTCCTGAATGACTACTGGGTACATAACGAAATGAAGGCAGAATAAAGATGTTCTTTGAAACCAATGAGAACAAAGACACAACATACCAGAATCTCTGGGACACATTTAAAGCAGTGTGTAGGGGGAAATTTATATCACTAAATGCCCACAAGAGAAAGCAGAAAAGATCTAAAATTGACACCCTAACATCACAATTAAAAGAACTAGAGAAGCAAGAGCAAACACATTCAAAAGCTAGCAGAAGGCAAGAAATAACTAAGATCAGAGCAGAATTGAAGGAGATAGAGACACAAAAAGCCCTTCAAAAAAATCAATGAATCCAGGAGCTGGTTTTTTGAAAAGATCAACAAAATTGATAGACCACTAGCAAGACTAATAAAGAAGAAAAGAGAAAAGAATCAAATAGATGCAATAAAAAATGATAAAGGGAATATCACCACCAATCCCACAGAAATACAAACTACCATCAGAGAATGCTATAAACACCCCTATGCAAATAAACTAGAAAATCTAGAAGAAATGGATAAATTCCTCGACACATAAACCCTCCCAAGACTAAACCAAGAAGAAGTTGAATCCCTGAATAGAGCAATAACAGGCTCTGAAATTGAGGTAATAATTAATCGCCTACCAACCGAAAAAAGTCCAGGACCAGACGGATTCACAGCCGAATTCTACCAGAGGTACAAAGAGGAGCTATTACCATTACTTCTGAAACTATTCCAATCAATAGAAAAAGAGGGTATCCTCCCTAACTCATTTTATGAGGCCAGCATCATCCTGATACCAAAGCCTGGCAGAGACACAACAAAAAAAGTGAATTTTAGATGAATATCCCTGATGAACATCGATGCAAAAATCCTCAATAAAATACTGGCAAACCGAATCCAGCTCTGGTTGAGTTTTCCCCTTTATGATATGCCCAGCACAGTGCCTGACACATAATAAATATTTAATGTGAGTTTCATTTTTCTTACATTTTCTGTTTGAGTACATCTGTTCATCTCTCCTATCTGGTCTACCAAAATATTTTTTTTCTTCACTTCATTTAGTACATTATCTGGGCTGACATTATTCACAATTCTGGGCTTCATATTTGTGACTTAAAGGCAATGCCACTACATTTTTAAAACCCTAAAGGCCCAGTGATTACATTTCCACCGAAATCTGTTAGGCCCACTCTTGGGAAAAGTGATTTAAATCCACAGTTCTTTGCTCTGAGTGTAGTGTTTCTCTAATACGTCCCCCTTAATTGTGAAGCTTCAGCTAATCAGACCCAGTCTCTTTTCCTCTCACACTTCTCTTCACTTATTCACTTGTCCAAATTCTATATTAGGAAGGAAGACAAAAGGAAGAGACAAAAGCTTATTTCTAAGTTTTAAAACATTTTTTCTGACTTCCCTTGATAACCAGGATTTAAAATCATATAGATGCTATTCCTTTTAAAGATAAAAGGAGATATTGTTACCTCACATGGTAAATAAATCATAATAAATCTAAGATGCAGAACAAGATGGGCTTTAGCAAGGGACCAGAGAGCTAGTTTGAAGAGTCTGAGGATTAGCCAATTGCTCCCTAATGTCAAGCCAAGATCCAGTAGAAATCATCATTCTGGCATCTGACAGAAGAAGTCAAAGGTCAGGATTTAATGCTGCCGCAGTCCGATTTCCAAACCTCATTGAGCAGGTGCTTAATAAGGCATGATTATTTGTTGTGTTAAAAGAGTTCAGAGCCAAGTAAGACGTAGAGTCACAGAACAAAGTGATTCTCAGCTCTATTATTCCAGTGAGAACATTGTAACCTTTTTGTTAACGACAATTATGTTGAGGTCATTACTTTATCAGAGTTGATTTCTTTGCCTAAGAAAAATATGGAATGCAAACATATTAGATTACGTGGAACTGGTAATGTCACTGATGAGTCTGCACTGATTACAAACAAGGAGAAAGAGGTTAAGGTCAGCAGAAAGAGCCCTGAATGGGTGATTAGATAAATGTGTTTCACTTTGGCTTTTAAGTGAAAAGATTGTGTAAAACTGGCAGAAGTTTTCAAGGCACCACCAGGATTTACCCAGAAGAGAGAGTGAGAGCAAGAGCAAGAATGAATGAGAGTGAGAGAGGAAGACAGAGAAAGAAAGAACTTTTCACAACAAATCTAATTAATTTTGACTGCAGGTAGTTTGAGTTAATTAGAACTTCTTTAAGCATAAGAAGCATAACATCAGGGATTTAAAATACTGTTTAGCAGACCCATTTCCTTCTTTTTTTTCCCCACTGCTTAGAAGATTTTTAGGTCGACAAATGTAACACTTAAACAATTAACAAAAAAAAGGCAGGTGCTCAGAAATCTGAACAACTACCTGGATTTGAATCCCACCTTCCTCATACTGGGGGAAAACTCAGTAGCGAGGCATGGTTTGGTCTTTATGGTGTTAAAAAAGAAAAAAAAAAGATTGAAAAAATAAATACTTGTTGAAAAGTTAACCAACACTCAAGAACACTAATCTCCAAGATGGCCCACAGTAAACCACGCCTTCTAGTATTTATGCCCTTGTGTATTTCCCCTTCATTTTGATTCTGTGCTGGCTATGTGAGTCTAATTAAACAATAGCGGGCAGCAGCAGTAACACTGTGCAAGTTCCAGACCTAAGCCTTAGGAAGGCCTGGCGGTTTCTCCTTCTGAGCTTTGGGAAGCCCTGAACAACCATGCAATAAATCTGGCTAGCCTGCTGGAGAGACCACAAAGAAAGGGCATGTGTAGAGAGAGAAAACCTGAGACTACAGGAAAAAAAGAGAGTGGCTCAGCCATTCCAGCATCCAAGACCAGCCCAGCCATATACCTCTCCCTGCTGAGGAGCCAGACTTGGGACATTCCAGCAGCAGCAGCTCTCAGACTCGAAAAGCATGAGAAACCTGAAGCAAGACCAGAAAAATGACTACACGGTCAACTCAAAGAATCTTGAGACATAATACATTATTGTTATTTTAAGTCACTGTTTTAGGGGATAGTTTGTTATACAGTAATAGATAATGGAAAAAGCAACCAGCAAAACATATGGACATATTGTTCAATGAGCTAGCCACTAGAAAAGTGGCTATGACTGAGAACTGAATTTTGAATTTTATGTAATTTAATATATTAAGTTTAAAAACTGAAGCAATGCAAAATATGTTTTCTGTTAAAACTGAAAAGGATGACATTTCACTTTAATGGTTGTATTGTCTATTGTATTGTTACTGGATCATAGTTCTGTCAGACATCTGTTATTTCTGGTATTACACATGAACACACCACCAAAAAAGACTGTAATATATCTTATAAATAATCTTATATCAGGCTGAGTTCTATGGTTCGTGCCTGTAATCCAAGCACTTTGGGAGGCTGAAGCAGGAGGATCACTTAAGCCCAGGAGTTTGAGACCAGCCTGGGCAACATAGGGAGACCTCTATCTCCACAAATAATAACAAAAATTAGCCAGGTGTTCTAGCAAGTGTATGTAGTCCTAGCTACTCGTGAGGCTGAGGTAGGAGGATTGCTTGATGCCAGGAGCTGAAGGCTGTAGTGAGCTCTAATTACACCACTGCACTCCATCTTTGGCTACAGAGAAAGACCCTGATACCAAATAATATTAATAATTAATGAATTATAATTATTAATTATATCAATTATTAATTGATATTATTTGATATCAATCATGTTGAACTGATAATATTTTGTACATACTCAGCTAAAGTGTTAACATTAATTTTTTTACTTTTTGAAATGCAACTTCCAGAAAATTTTAAATTACACTAGTGGTGTGCATTATATTTCTATTAGACAGCCCTCTTATAGAAGAGTAAACATAGAATTATTTTAAAGCTAACTTTGTTTTTAGAATAGTTGTAGATCCCATATACTCCACATATGGTTTCCTCTGTTACTAGCATCTTATATTAATATGGTCCATTATTTACAATGAATAAACCAATATTGACATATTATCATTAACTACAGTTCATACTTTACTCAGATTTTCTTAGGTATTACCTAATGTCCTTTGTCTATTTAAGGATCCCATCCAGGGTACCATGTGACATTGAGTCATCATTTCTGCTCAGGCTCTTCTTTGCTGCCACAATTTCAGACTTCCCTTCCCTCATTGTTGATGACTGTAGTGGTTTGAATGGTGGTCCTCAAAAAAGCTATTTTCATTTCCTAATCTCCTTGAACCTTTTAATGTAACCTTTCTAGGAAAAAGTTCCCTTAGATATGATTAAGTAAAGGTCTCAAGATCACCTTATTTTATTTGATCCACCCTTATGAGAGACACACAGAAGACAGACACATGCTAAGAAGAGGAAGAAGCAAAGTGACAGAGGCAGAGTCTGGAGTGATGCAGACATAAACCTGGGAACGCTGACAGCTACCGCAACCTAGAAGGGTTAAGGAACAGAATCTCTCCTGGAGTCTCAGGAGTGTGCACAGCCATGCCAATATTTTGATTTCAGACTACTATTTGCCCCCACAACTCTAAGGGATTTTTGCTTTTTTTTTTTCATAAACTACCAAGATTGTGGTAATTTGTTATGGTAGCCACAGGAAATTAAAACAATGACCTTGAATTTCTTGATAGTACTGGTGAGGTAGTTTGCCTAGTTGGAATTTGTCTGGTGTTTTCCTCCCAGTTAGAGTGGGATTACGCATTCTTGGGAGGAAGACCACAGAGGCATAGTGCCTCTTATGATCATGACTTGTATCAAGTATACATACTCTTAGCATGATTTATCACTGTTGATGCTGATCCTGATCACCGGGGTCAGGTGTGTTTATCCATTATGAAGTTGCCCTTTCTCCCCTCCTTTTCATATTGCACCTTTTGGAAGGAATTTTGAGAACTCAAAAGAAGACGTGATTAAATGGAAAAGAAGAGACAGTTGTAAGAGCATCCAAGCAGAAAGAGTGAACACTGAGTAGCTACTGGTCAAAAAGTAAAATAAATCAGTCATGACCACAGTGCAAAAAAATCAGGGTCACATTCAGATACAAGAAGAGACCTCTACTCCTCTGAAACAAGAAGGAATTAACAAAAGACAGGCAAAGAGACAAAAATATTGAACAGGTGTTGCAAAGAAAAGTTAAAGGCATCATAAAGGCCTCTTCTCAAGAAAGTAAAATTCAGTTCAATTATTAATATTTATTGAGACTCACTGTATACCATACAATGTCAACCCTGAAGAATTCAATTTGGCAAGATG
The DNA here is from genome assembly GCF_000001405.40 of Homo sapiens. Taxonomy (NCBI): domain Eukaryota; kingdom Metazoa; phylum Chordata; class Mammalia; order Primates; family Hominidae; genus Homo; species Homo sapiens. The sequence goes on along the minus strand of NC_000007.14, from coordinate 84,949,894 downwards.
TAGTTTCTGTCATAAGGCATATATTATTTGAAAAAGAATATCATATGAATAAGGTAGAAAAATAAATATAACACTGTAGGGATACTTCAAAAGGGCTCTACAAAAATAGCATTTACATCCATCTGAAACTCAAAAAAGTTTTCTAGGATCAACTGGTATTTGAGAGAAAAACCACTAACCACAAAAACTGACATGGTAGCATGACCTAATAATAATTTTTAAAACAACCCTCAACTCTGCGGGTTCTGAAATCCTATTTGTCACTGACCCAGAGTTGATTGGAGTTTGGAATAGAATTTGAGCCAAGAAAAATTATAAAAATATAAACTAGAATGAAAAGTATTAATTATTGTGGGAATCAAAACCGTCAGACAAGCTTCATGTGGGAAAATTAGATTAAAAAATAAAAATATTAAAAGACTGTTTGATAAGCCTTGAATGGGAGAATGGGGTACTAGCTATTTATATGAGTTCAATCTATTAAGCCATTAACCTGGCAAACTTCAGTTCCATGGTCTGTGAAAACAGAAAATGGAGCTCCTACTTCAAGGAATCAAATGAAGTAAGGTATGCTTATCATATGGTCTGGAACATGGTGAACTTCCAGGAAGTATTATCATTATTATGACCATAATTATTTGTTTAGTCATCATTTTCCTTTCCCACTATGGCTTCCTGCAAGACTGCAGCCAGATTATACTCTCTTATATTCTCTTATTCTCTCCTCATACGTGCTTGTCATCAAGAAGAAACACAAAGAAAAAGAATGGATTTTGTTTAATTAAGAGGGGTTGATTGTGGCAAAGTGTAAAAAGTGGAATTAATTTAGAAGCTGATATAAACAATGTGCTTTAAACTAAATTGGCCCTATAAAACAAGAAAAAATATATTTGTTTGAAATTATGTCCTATTAAAAGCTATTTTAGTGTTTATGAATATGTACATAAGCAAATACATACAGGAGAAAGCTACAGTTTCCTTTGCAGCAGGACTGTGTCCTGTTCTTAATTAAATGGAAAGAATGAAAGACAATCACGAGGGATGGGGGGTTGGGATGGCTGTGGTTTGGAGGCATGGTTGGTATTTATTAGTAAAAAATGGAAGAGAAGGTGTCATAAACTTAAACTAGGGAGGTCCAATACTAACTAAGTCACAAGGTTGTCTCTATGGACTGAGTTAAGCCTCTTAACAACTTCTCTGTTTTATTCGCTCCATCTGTTTTACCAGACTATTGGGAGGATTATTTAGTTAATGCTGAGGACTATGTTTATCAGTTCCACAAAATGTCTGTTATTTAATGATGAGAGAACTCTAAACGACGCAGCGGGAGTATCACAGGGGTTAGCAACAGCATTATTGTCAGTTGAGTCCTTTAGAGACCCACAGGACAAAATATGATATGCAGTTCTCAGAGCATTTGGAATTGTGTTTCAGTAATTATTTCTCCTTCTAACTCCTCAAGTCAATTGGGTTTTCTACTTTGTGAGCTTGACAAGGAATTTGTTTTTTATGATGGTAAAATTTTTGAGTGGTCTCAAAATTATCCTGAAAATGATTTCTCTAAACAGAAATTACAGTGACAAAATGCACTGCAAAGTGACAACCTGTCTTTGTACATACCTATATAAGTGAATTCTTCACTTTACCTACTTGGATCGAAGATGTTTCTTTTTCTTTAGTGAAAGAAACTAATTTTTAGTAACTTGATCCTAAGCCAAAGACTAGGAAACCCCCAATATATCACATTTAAATGAAATTTTCCATAGAACATAAAACACAAAGAAACTCAGAATTTGATATAATAACGTATGCCAACTGTTTCAAAAAGAAAATAATCTCCTTTGTAAATCTGCAGTTTTAAAATTCCATAACAGTTATAATTCTGACTTAGTGAAGATGAAAATATAGCTCAATATGCTATAGCATACCTCCAATTTCCAGTTCTAGAATATTAAGTCAGCACTTTGTAATCTGAAAACAAATATGAACCTTCCTACTTCAAAAAAAGGACCATAGGGAAGAAGAATATTCCAATTCACTCTTAATCGGCGTAAAATATCTCAGACTCACAATAAAGCCTGGTAAATAAAATTTCCACTAAAATGAAACCTCCATATGAGGTAAATCAGTTCTTTCAGGTCAGTAGGGTACCATTTGGTAAATTACCTCTGTTTCCTCCTCCCACTGGAGAATGTTATTACCTCACATATGTGGGCTAGTAATACTCACCAAGCATCAAACTCTCCTGTATTGCTCCAAGGATCGTGCCCAGTTTGAATAAGACTGAAAATATTATTAATGGGTAATTTAGACTTTAGGCCTGAGGCTAAGTTCATGCTGTTACGCGGTCAGGATATTGGCACTTTCCCTTCTTTAATTTATGTTTGCAAAACAGTGACATGAACTAAGTTTGACTGTTCTTTCAGAAATCTGGCCCAAATCCCTCTTTGTGTGGGTTTAATTTGCACCCTTCATAGTATTTCTGTGTATTATACTTGCTTTCATACCAGGTTTGAATGGAATCTAAGATATGATTGAAAAGAGTTCTATTTTTATAATTCAAAATTAATCATGCCCCAACAATGTGAACATGGCACTCTGGGTGGTAATCCTGGAGTTAAATGTTCTCATTCGAAAATGGAAATACACATTTGTGATCTTTATTGAAGGTCATCGTGTATACAAAGTGTGTGCTTAGCATGATTTCAGAGCGTGATTCCAGTAATTTCAACTGTGCTGCATATTAATTCAGGAGCTAGATTACATGTCAGAATCATAAACAGAGCCGACGTCTGATGCTTTCCATTGTGAAGGAGGGCTGTGGTACTGGAGATTTCAAGGAAGGGTCAGCAAGGGCCCAAGTGAAACTTTTTAAAAAGTGAAGATTAAGAGAGAGATTCCGCGACCTGACTGCTTAATAATTCTTGTCTCTTTTCCACTTGAACTATTATAGGAGCTTGTAGTAGGTAAGCTCCCATTTCTTTGAACTGAAAATCACTCCTGGAAAAATTAGGATGCCTGATTTAGGTGCTCCAACATAAATTTCACAATTCAGCATCCTCCATTTCTGCTCACTGTTTTCTCCTATCAATTCTGTTCTCCTTATCTCCTCTTAACACTCACAATGCAAATCCTGCCTCTTGCTCTTGTCTGCCCAAAAAACCTGCTATGAGTCCTAGCATCAGTCTCAGCTGGGATCTTTGCTCATGTGTCAGTGATTATCTGAATGGACTATAGGCTGAGGTTGGCCAAAAAAATAAAAAAATAAAAATAAAAGTAATAAAAAAATGAATGATTTAAATTGATGTACGTGTGTTTGTATAGTTGGTTTTCTAGTTAACATTTACATTTTAATAGTGTCCTTTAACAATTTGAACTAAAGGCAGTGCTAAGCAATTTTTTAAAATGTGCTCAACACTGAAGCACTTTGTTCATACAATAATAAAGTTACATGTACTTATTATATACAATAAGATGCTTTAAAGTATATATATGTTGTGGAATGACAAAATTCCAGCTAATTAGCATATGCATCATCACTGCCAGATTTGTTGTGAGCACATTACATCCACTTTGCCAGAATTTTTCAAGAACATGATACATTGTTAACTGTAGACAACATGTTTTACAGTAGATTTCTTAAATTTATTTCTCCTACCTAACAAAGAAGTTTTTATTCTTTGACTAATATCTCCTCAGCTTCCCCACCTTCCAACACCCCAGCCCTGGTAGCTACCAATCTACTCTACTTCTATGAGTCCACATATGAGTGAGATCATGTAGTATTTAATTTTCTATGCCTGGCTTATTTCACTTAACATAATGTCCTCCAGGTTCATCTATGTTGTTGCAAATGATAGAATGATTACTGATTAATGCTAATGATGGCTGGATAGTATTCCATTGTGTATATATACCCCATTCTCTTTATGCATTTATCCATTGGTGGACACTTAGATTAATCCTATATTTTGGCTATTGTGAATCATGCTGCAATAAAAATGGGAGTTCAGCTATCTCTTCAGCATACTGAGATCATTTTTTGTTTGAATATAAACCTATTAGGGATTGCTGTATCATGTGGTAGTTCTATTTTAAGTTTTTTGAGGGATTTTTATACTGTATTCCATAATGGCCGTTCTAATTTACACTCTCACAGTGTGCAAGGGTTCCCTTTTTTCCACATCCTCTCCAACCATTGTTATTACTTGACTTTTTGATAATAGGCATTCTAACAGGCATGTGGTGATAGCTCACTGGGGCTTTAATTTGCCTTATCCTGATGATTAGTGATGTTGGACATATTTTTTCCTATACCTATTGGCCATTTGTACATCTTCTTTGAGAAACGTTTATTTGAGGTCTTTATCCATTTTAAAATTGAGTTTTGTTTTTTTTTTGCTATTGAGTTATTTCAACTTCTTGTATATTTTGATATTAACCCCTTATCAGACATATTTTGCAAATATTTTCTTTGATTATATATGTTGACTTTTCATTCTGTTGATTATTTCCTTTGCTGTGTAGAAGCTTCATAGTTTCCTGCAATGCTATTTATCTATTTGGATTATTTTATCTTTTTCATGATAAGTCATGGAATGCAGAACCTTTAATAACGAAAGCTTTAAGGACTCCTGAAGGACAAGGTGGCCACCTGGGTTCTTCACAAGCCCATGCTTAACATTAGACTTACGTTCTCTTGAATACCAGCTGTTTCTCTAATTCAGGTGCATAGCACTGATAACTAGTAAGTTATCACAGGTAATTTGACTTAGACCAGGGAGTTCATTCAAATTGTATATTTAAACAACTTTAGTATTGGCTGATTGATTTAGCACGGTAATCTAGAGCTTGATTTTGAAAGGTTTGTTAAATACCAAAGGTTTAAAACATTGGATATTACAAAATAGAATCTTAAGTTACCATAAGTCATTCATTTAGTCAAATTGATAACTCAAAAATTTTTTAAAGGAAAAAACATTATTCTGATAGAGACCCAGCTTTCCAAACAAGACCCAAAGAAGATAGCATGAGGCCAACTGACTATCTCCTTTCTTTCCTTCCCCCTCCTTTTTTAAGAAGTAAACAAAAACCTTTCATTATCTTTTGATATTACATAAAAATCCTTTAAAAAGAGAAAACCAAATTTTACATTTCATTAGCATATTTTTAATGATAAAACTAGGTTTTAGTAACATTTTATAAATATATTCAGTTTTAATTAATTTGACCATAAGGTAAGATTTTTATAAACCTTTTATAATCCTTTACATTTTTTTTTCTCAGAGCAGAACAATATTCTAAGAAAACTCTGTTGTGCTTTTATTCCAATGTCCAATTTATGGGGAAAAAAATAACAACGAATAATCCCATTTTAACTTTAGCCACTATGTTCACACATAGAATCTCTTATAATCAACTTTTATAAAACTTCCACAACTTGTTCAAACTTTTAGCTTTGTTTAATTTAAAACAATCCTTTAACCCTCTAACCTAGGCAAAAATCTACATTCCCATACTTTCCTATAATCTCTTACAAAAAACACGTTTCATTCTCCTTACACACCTTGCATGTAAACCTATTTTTCCAGTAGTCTCAATTACATATTACAATGTTAACTCTTAGCAATTTTTACTTTTGGTGAAAATCTTGGTAAGTAAGAGATTTTAATTATGTACTAGGTGTGGAGACTAGGACCCAGACAGAAATGCAGATAAGGTCTGACTCTTTCCAGCTTCTAACTCCACGTGTCTCAGGACTTAGCTAGCTATAAGCAGGCAAACTATACAGTTAAGAGTCATAGTGGCATTTTATGAAGCATTTAGGAGGACTAATCACTTTTAAATTGTATAACATTTCTGGCATAAATTCCTTTTTATAAATTCTTTCATGATTTTCACAGACCATGAACAACATGTTTAGACTTTCTGACTTGCCCTAAACATCCCTCTTTTTAAACAACCAGTCATTTTACCTTAGGACAAGAATTTACCATACAACATTCTTTCTTATTTAAAATCTCTTTTCTGTATAACCTTCTTTGCATAGCTAGGGGGCATGGGTAATTCCATATATCCCCAGGCCTTATTTAGAATGTAATGTCTCCAAAATAAATTGAACAATTTTCAAACATCAAAGTAGTGTATAACCTTAAAGCATTTAGCAAACCTAATATCTGACATGCATAATTTAGAAAAAATGTCTTTATTTTATCAATAATCTTTAAAGTTGTCTTTATTTCCCCAATATTGCAAAAGTTACGTGAACTAAAAGGCACTGCAGTTTTTATTTTGCTTTAATTATATTTGGTTTAAGTGCTTATTTTTGCTTAAGCCAATTAATTAGAGCTCTTATATATAAACATTACACACAACATATATATAATTAGACAGAGAGACGGACAGAATAAGATTACTATAGTAGTTATAAGATTTTTCATTTGCCAGTTTTTAAGTTTCTTAATTGATTATTGGCTTTATGGTGGAGTCCTCGGAATAACAAGGCCAAGAAAGGGGTTTCTGGTGCCTCTTGTTTTTCCCAAGGAGTCCAGGCTGTTAAAAGCCGGAATACCCACTTTTAATTAAGCTGACTTTTAAGCATAGCACTCTGTAATACAGACCTTTTAAAATTTCTTATTACCCAGTTTTAGACAGGCCAAAAGGCTGATATTTCTGCCTTTTGAACTTTACCAAAGGTAACCTCCCAGGTGCTCAAGGAAGAAAAATTTAAGATAGACCATGGAGGAGAAGAGACTAGACAAGGTTATACAGATATTAAATCAGAAAGGACTTACTTCCTAAGCAGGGAATCAAACCCGGACCACTGTTGTGAAATGGCCAGAATCTTGGCTCCTGAGCTACAGCACAGGACAGTCTTTATTGAGCTTCCCAGAAGAAATCTAGAGTAGTTAATTTTGATTTTGCAAAGGCTTTTAACTACTCAAGATAATTTTTAGAGCTATGGCATAAACCCTAAAATTCCTGTTCCCTGGAAGGCAGAGACCAACACAAAGTACTGCCACATGGTTACGAGGTCAAGCTCTCAAGGACGTAAAACAAGATGGAGAACCCATCCCGCTTTTTGTTCGTTTCAGGGACCTGCAGCAAAGTTTGTCATTGACCAGCTTGCTGGACCATCTTGAGCAGCAAGCTTTTGGGTTCCTAAGCCCAGGTTTTATTCTACGGTACTCCTTGACTCAGAAAAACGAATTCATACCACAAATACAAATACATCAGTTTAAGACTAGCCTCCGAATTCTTTTTCTCATTAATCAAAACTTTACAGAAGAGATAAACAGTGACTTTTACCATCCATTCAACCGTTTGCACAGAGAGAGAGAAGCCAGCAATCTGACTGGTAAGAAATTCTCTTACCTTTACGCCGGTATGCCAGGCTTCTGGGTTCCCTTTTCCTGAGCAGCCCCAGTGACCCAGCTTACCACACCATCACCCAGGGGACCAAACCACAATATAAAGGAAAATTAACTTTTTTCATTCTGTCCAGAGCAAAATACATGTGATAAAACATAAATTATTAGCTACTCTGCTTAGCACCCAATATCGAACTGGCAAGGCTTAAATTTTCCCTCAGATGGGCCCCATCATCTTTAAACAAACCTCCGGCTAGGAGTTTCAACACCTGGTCTCTGGGCAAAATAGTTGCCATGAGTAATAGAAAAGATAAAAAAGGGCAAGAAGAGAGAGAAAAGCATTGCTTGCGGCGGGGTGGGGAAGGTGAAATGCTCAGGCAGGCCAGAGAAAGACCCACTCATTTCAGCAATACTGAAAAGTTCAGGCAGCTGCAGCTGCTGTCATGAAGGGATTTTTTTTTTCCAGTAGTCCCATCAGCTCCCAAGTTTCCCCTTTTTGGAGAGGAAGAAGCTCCCCATGCCCCCCTATTCTGTATATGCCTAATTCTGTCAGCCATAGTTGTCAGCAAAGAGTGCAAAGCAGATTATTCCAAAGAGAACAGCAGTTGACATCCTGTAGTGCCAAACCTGTTCTTAGCCAAAAGGGACTTTACCGAGAGCCCTCATTTTTAAATGTACTTCAGTGCATTGTTGTTCATTCGGAACATTCCACTGTAAGTTATCTTTAGCAAGATTTTGCCATCTATAAGACTTTGCTGCCTCCCAGGCCTAATGTACAACCCAGAAGAAGCTCAGTTTTCCAGAAATTAAGGATCCCATTTTTACCTAAAATATTGGCTTTACTCTCAGGGTCTCTTGATTAACTCAGCCAATGACTTTTTTTCTACTTAAGCATGCAAGAAAAATGAAACAAAGGGGGTAGAGCAAAAAATTCCCTGTGAATTTTCGAAAGCCAAATTCTACAACCCCTGCAATATCACTGCTTACTACCAGTTCCTTTCCAAACCAGTCAGATGTAAGTGGCCTCTAACTGGATCCAAGCCAGTTAATTCCCAGATGAATTCCATTCCTGGACCCAGTCCAGTTTCTGTCTCAACTCCAAACCCAGTTTGGATCAGAAATTTGCTCAAAGAAACTCAGAGAGCTCAAAACACAAATCTGTGGAGCTCCAAAATCCAAGAGGGACCTTACCCATGATCCCCATCAGCTCTGAGAGATCAATGGATACAAGTGGGTCCTGCAGGTACCTTGAATGTTCACTCAGCGCTCCTGGGTATCTCTAGAAGCTCCACTTCGGATTCCGCTTCTGACACCATCTGATAAAAGAAAAACGTCAGCCAAATTAAATTTAAAGGAGTTTAATTGAGCAATGAACGATTCACAAATCGGGCAGCCCCCAGAATCAGAGCAGATTCACAGAGGCTCCAGGTGTGCCTCCCTAGCAGAGCAAGTTTATAGACAAAAAGGTAAAGTGACTTCCAACAATCGGAAGTGAGGTGCAAAAACAGTGAGATTGGTTACAGCTGGGCGTTTGCCTTATTTGAACCCAGTTTGAACATTCAGCAGTCTATGAGTGGTTGAAGTATGGCCGCTGGGATTGGCCAACACTCAGCTGTTGTTACAGGTGTATACTATTAAGTTAGGTTTTCAATTTTGCCTGACTATTAAGCTAGGTTGCAGTTCATCCTCAAGGACTCAAATACAGAAGTAAGGAGTCCTTCTCAGGCTATATTGAGTTTTCTTTAACAGTTGATATATTTCTTTTTATGCCAGTGCAATGCTGTCTTGGTTACTATAGCTTTGTAGTGTATTTTGAAATCAGGTAGTGTGATGCTTCCAGCTTTGTTCTTTTTCCTCAAAATTGATTTGGCTATTTGAGGTCTTTTGTGGTTCTATAAAAATCTGAGGATTATTTTTTTCTATTTTTGTCCTTCATTTTGTTAATTTGATGTATCATATTTATTAATTTACGTATGTTGAACCTTTCTGGCATCGCTGGTATGAATCAATGATAAATGATATTTTAAATGTGCTATTGAATTCAGTTTGCTAGTATATTGTTAAGGATTTTTGCTTCTGTGTTAATCAGGGATATTGGCCTGTAGTTTTCTTTTTTGTATAGTTTCCTTGTGCCTGGTTTAACATCAGGTAAAGCTGACCTTGTAATATGAGTATAGAAGTATTCTCTCCTCTTCAAATTTTTGAATGAGCTTAAGAAGAGTTAGTGTTGTTTCTTCTTTAAGTGCTTGATAGAATTCAGCAGTGAAGCTCTGCGTGCGCCGGAGGCTGCCATGGCGGGTGGGCAGCTTGACTTCTCCTCCCGGCCAGTTGTCGAGCGCCTCACCAGGCCTCGCCCTGCAGCCTCGCTCTCCCTGGCGCTGCGCGGCCTAGGGGACTGGGCTGCTGGCCTCCGGGTGCGGGGTGGGGGCAGGCTCTGACCTGGGGCGTTCTGGCCGCGCGAGCCGCGGGATGGGGCCCCCGGCCCCGGAGGAGGCGCCGCTGCTGTGTCCCTTGGTGGAGAGGGCGCTGCCAGCCCTGCGCGGTTTCCAGCCAGGAAGCTTCGGGAAGCCTGGACGTCTGCTCACTGGAGATGACACGTGCGTGGGGTGTTGGGAAGGAGGTGACTTCGCCTGTGATGGACTCCCAGTGTGAGCTGTGATGGACTTCCAGTGTGAGCACTGGCCAGAGTGACCAGGCCGACCATCAACAGCCCTGATCCAGATGCAGAGGCCAGGATGTGGGCCCAGCCCTGTGCCAGAAGGCTGGCTGGAATAAAGGTACAGATAGAGGCCTCACCCCCTCTGGGACCACTGGCACTCAGGGTGTTTGCAGCCTCAGAGCCCACCTACCCCCAGGGCCACAGCTGCAGCTCCTGCCCTGCTGTCATTACAGGGATGGGCAGGCTGGCATGGGGGCACCCGCTGCCCCTGCCTGGGTGTTGCTGTGTATTCCCGCCGGCCAGGGGCCACTGCCAGGACCACCCCTCCCTTTTCATATCCCGATTCTTAAGTTCTGCTATTGTGGTATTGTGGTCGAAAAAAAAGAACCGCTTGGCTGTTTTTGAACTGCCTGGAACCTAAGATCCTGAATTTTTTTTCCCCCCCAAGGGGGAAAGTCTATATGGAAAACATTTATTTTAAAATACAGGATGAAGTGAATTAAAAGATTTAAATGCAAAAAAAAAAAAAAAGCAGCAGTGAAGCCCTCCAGCTCTGGCCTTTTCTTGATGGAAAATTTTTTACTAATTCAATCTCCTTACTTCTTCTTGTTCTATTCAGATTTTCTATTTTATCATAATGTATTTTGTTAGGTTGTATGCATCAGAAATTTATTCATTTCTTCTAGGTTATCCAATTTGTTGGTGCATAATTGCTCATAATAGTGTCTTACGGTCTTTTGCATTTCTGTTCTATCAGTTGTAATGTTTCCTTATTTGTTACTGATTTTGTATTTTTGAGTCCTCTTTTTTTTCCTTAGGCCAAAGGTTTATTGATTTGGTTTATCTTTTCAAAGAACCAACTTAGTTTTTTTAATATTTGTATTATTTTTCTAATATTTATTTCATTTATCTCTGCTCTGATCTTTATTATTTCCTTCCTTCTACCCACATTGGGCTTAGTTTGTTCTGGTTTTTCTAGTTCCTTGAGATGCAATGTTAGGTTGTTTATTTGAGATCATTTTTCTTTTCTCATGTAGGTATTTATTCCTATAAAATTTCATCTTTGAATTTCTTTTGCTGTGTCCCACAGGTGTTAGTATATTGTTTCCAATTTTATTTGTCTCAATAAATATTTAAAAATTTCCTTTAAATTTCTTTATTGACCGATTAGTTGTTCAGTAACATGTTGTTTAATTTCCAAGTATTTATGAATTTTTTAAGATTCTCCTGTTATTGATTTCTAGTTTAATATTGTTGTAGTCAGGAAAAATACTTAATATAATTTCAGTCTTTTTAAATTTATAGGACTTGTTTTGTGGCCTAAAATGTGATCTATACTGAAGAATGTTTTATGTGCTGTTCAGAAGAATTTGTACACTGCACCTGCTGGATGGAATGGTTCGGTATGTGTCTGTTAAGTCTATTTGGTCCAGTGTATAGTTTAGATTTGATGTTGGTTTACTTTCTGAATGATCTGTTCGTTGATGAAAAAGGGGTTTTGAAGTCTTCTGTTGTTGCATTTGCATTCTATCTCTCTCCTTAGATATATTAATATTTTCTTCACATATTTAGGTGTTCTGATGTTCAGTGGATATGTATTTATTTATAACTGTCATAGTCTGTGGAAGAATTGACCCCTTTATCATTATATCATAATCATCTTTGTCTTATATTACAGCGTTTGACTTAAAGTCTATTTTATTTAATATAAGCATAGCCACACCTGCTGTTTTTTAGTTTCCATTTGTATGGAATAACTTTTTTGCCTCCTTTCACTTTTTTATGTACACTTAACATGAGCCTCTTGTAGGCAGAATATAGTTGGGTCTGGTTTTTATATCCATTCAGCCACTCTCTGTCTTTTGATTGAAGAATTTGGTCCATTTACATTCAAGATAACTATTAATAGGCAAAAACTTACTAGTTCCATTTTGTTAATTATTTTCTGGTAGTTTCATAGATCATTTTTGTCTTTTTTCCTCTCTTGTTGTCTGCTTTTATGGTTAAGTGATTTTTCTCCAGTGTTATGTTTTGATTCCTTGATTTTTATATTTTATGTATCTATTATAATTTTTGTTTTATGGTTATCACAAGTCTTACAAAAAAACTGTTGTAGTTTTAACATGTTATTTTAAGCTGACAACAACTAACCTTTGGTCACACACACACACACACACACACACACACAGAGAAAACAAACAAAAAATTTCTACACTTTTACTCAACTTCCCTCACCCCAACATTTTTAATTTCTGTTATCACAATTTAAGTGTTTTTACTAGTTTATTTATATTAATATTTTCATATCACACATCCTTTAAATTATTGTTGCTATTGTTATTTTTAGTAATTTTATCTTTTAATCTTCATACTAAAGATACAAGTGTTTTATATACCACCATTAGAGTATTAGAATATTCTAAATTTGACTGCACACTTACTTTTATAAGTTTTATACATTCATATGTTTTTGTGTATTATTTTTTTCACTCAGTTTCAAGAATTCTCTTTAGCATTTTTTAAAAGACAATTCTGTTGATGAGGAACTCCTTCAGGTTTGGTTTGTCTGGGAAAGTCTGTGTCTCCTCCTCCTCCTCCTCCTCCTCCTCCTTCTCCTTCTCCTTCTTCCTATTGCTTCTTCTTATACTTCGCTGCTTTCAGAATCTTCTCTTTGTCATTTACCGTAGACAGTTTGATTATAATATGTCTTTGGCTAGGCTTGTTTGAACTGAATCTGGTTGAAGATTAATGACCTTCTTGTATTTGAATAGTTACATCTTTCCAGGTTTGAAAATTTTTCTACTACTATTTCTTTAAATAAGCTAAGTATATTTTTACTTTTTTTACTGTTACACTTCTATGATTCAAGCATTTGTTCTTTTGATGCTGTCCTATAAATCCCATAAGCTTTCTTCAATCATATATATATATATATATATATATATATATATATATATAGTTGGTGCAATAGCAATTGTGGTTTTGGGCATTAAAAATAATGGCAAGGGCTGGGCAGGGTGGCTCATGCCTGTAATCTTAGCACTTTGGGAGGCCGAGGCAGGCAGATCACGAGGTCAGGAAATCAAGACCATCCTGGCTAACACGGTGAAACCTCGTCTCTACTAAAAATACAAAAACAAAATTAGCTGGGCGTGGTGGTGGGCGCCTGCAGTCCCAGCTACTTAGGAGGCTGAGCCAGGAGAATGGCATGAACCTGGGAGGTGGAGCTAGCAGCGAGCTGAGATCACACCACTGCACTCTAGCCTGGGCAACAGAGTGAGACTCCATCTCAAAAAAAAAAAAAAAAAAAGCAAAAAAAGTAATGGCAAGAATATATATACATATATGTATTTCTGACTTCATACGGTCATTCACACATAATATTTCTATCAATTTTGAATTGCATATATGACAATGGTCCCATAAAAATATAATGGAGCTGAAAAATTAAGTGATATCATAGCCATCATATAACACCATAGTGCAATGCATTACATACGTATTTGTGGTGTTTCTGGTGTAAACAAACCTAATGTACTGCTAATTGTATAAAAGGATAGCACATACAATTATGTACTGTACATAATGCTTGATAATAATTATAAACAATCATGTTACTTCTTTATGTATTTGCTATACTATAGTTTTGATAGAGTACACGTGTTCTACTTACTTAAAAAAGTTAAATGTATAAAACAGCCTCAGGCAGGTTTTTTATGAGGTACTCCAGAATAAGAAATTGTTTTCATAGGAGATGATAGCTCCATTGCCTCTGATGATCTTACAATGTGTCAAAATATGGAGGTGGAAGGAGTAATATTGATTATCCTGATTCTGTGTAGTCCTAGGCCAATGTTTGTGTTTGTGACTTAATTTATAACAAAAAGGTTGGAAGTTAAAGTTAATTTATTATTGAAGAAAGACATTTTTAAAAAATATGCTCAGCATAGACTAAATGTACTCTTTATAAAGTCTACAGTAGTTGATAATAATGTTCTTCACATTCACTTACTTCTCATTCATGTCTCACCCAGAGCAACTTCCATTCCAGCAAGCTCTACTCACAGTAAGTGACTTATAGAGGTGTACCATTTTTTATCTCTTATATTATATTTTTACTATACCTTTTCTATGTTTAGACACAAATAGTTGCCATTGTTTACAATTGCCTACAGTATTCAGTACAATAACATGCTGTACATGTTTATAGCTTAGGAGCAATGGACTACACCATATAGCCTAGGTTTGTAGTAGTCTATACCATCTAGGTTTGTGTAAGTACCCTCTATGATATTTGCACAATAACAAAATCACCTAACAATGCGTACCTCAGAATGTATCCCCATTGTTAAGTGACACATGACTGTATTTTCAAATAATCTGTCTTTGAGTTTCACATATTCTTTCTTCTATTCAGTCAATCCTGCTCTACTTAATTTCTCTATTGTAATTTTATTTCATTCATTGTATTTTCTGGGCCTAGAACTTCTGTGCTTTTAAAACTTATTTCAATGTATTAAATTTCTCTTTCTGATCACTCATTGGTTTTCTCATTTTATTCAATTGTTTCTCTATATTTTCTCGAAGTTCCACCATCTTTATTCATTCCTCCAGGTGAATTCTGAGGTCATGGCCTATCTCATATCCCACTTCTAAGAAAATCAGTCTTATCTGTGACTTATTATATCATAAGACCCTTCCCCTATGCAGCCTTGCCTAATTGGGTCAGGGTGGGGAATTGATTAAGGTTTAGCCAATCAGACTAACTCTTTGGGTATTAGGATTGAAGGATCAGAGAAGGAATTAACTAGCTTTGCAGAGCACAATGGAAAAAACAGTCAAGGAGAATCATGTATTAAAAGCAGCATTGTTTTGATGTCCATTTGTGAGTGGATGAATAAAAAGAAGTCAATCTGTAAGGAGAAAAACAAAATATAGCAAGTATCTTCAGGAAGATAAAGATGAGAGTCTCTCTTATCCAGGAAATAGATAGAATAAGCTTCTTATTTACTTTCAATTATTTCCATGCCTGGCTTTCATTTTGTATGTTTGTTTAACAAGATACTACATATAAAGTTTCTTTTCTGTGTCTACCATATATACATACCATATGTGCATATGTGTCTACCAAGAAAAGTTTCTTTCCTAGTGCTCTCTTGTACTTTCTTGTTCTCTCTCAGTTTTACTCTCTTGGTATCTGAAACTCTCTCTCTCCCTCTCTCTTTCTGTCTCTCTCTCTCTCTGATTTCCTTTTGCTTCCTTTGTCTTTCTAGCATTCCGTCCCTCCTTCCCTTTCACTCTTTCTTTGGTAATCTCTATTTCTCTCTCTGTCTTTCCTTTACATATCTCTTTCAGCTTCAATTTCTCTAGATTTATTCTTCTTGAAACTAAAGGGTACAATGAAGTTTTTAAGCACATTGGTAGTACCAATGGATATTTCACATTTATTTAAACTGAAGTAAAAATGTCATTTTGGGGGGTGAGTTCCTTTGTGCCCCTTAAATCACACTGTTTACCTAAATGTACCTAAGAACAGAATTTGTGGTAAAGCTTTCTAAAATACTGGTTATTAAAGTCTATCTTTTCTGTAGCAGCTAGGCTCAAAAAGAAAAAAAGAAAAAAGAAAAAGAAAGTCTATCCCAGTCTATTTTGAAGACTAGTGTAAACTGTTAGCAGAGCTGTGGTGTACTTTCAGATGAAAGAATGGAAATTGTGAACTCTGAGAGGCCTGGTGGTATTACTGTAAAATCATTTGCATACTGTTAAGCGACATACTGAAGGAGGCACCAGTTTCTTAAACAGTATTCCCTTGATATTTCCAACTTGCCAAGTCTTCCTTTCTGAAATTATGGAGTAGATGAGAGGTATGAAATGTAGACATTTGGATTGAAATTTTTCATTTGGGAATTTGTAAAACAGAAAGAAGTGTGAGCTCCTCCAGTTACTTTATTGTCTGAGTACCAGATAGAACAAACGAAATCTCACCTTCTGTATGGAGCTGAAGTTTCACATGTGGTCATTACAATGAAATTTAATGCTTACCTCCCTAAAATAAGTAATTATCTTAATCTAAGGTTATTATCATAACTTTATCCAAATTGAGTACTCTGTTGATTTGGTTCACTTGGATTATATATTATTTTTAAAACATACATTAATTTTAAAGAGTTTATAATATTACATGTATACATTAAAGTATAATAAGAAAACCAACTTTTTGTATCTGCCAACCAGTTTAAAAAATAGAACACTCAAATATAATATAGCTCCTTCTGTACCTTTGGTAAAAATTTTACTCTTTCTTTTTCAATCCATTTTCTTCTTTGATTTCCCTCCACCTTCTATATTTTCCTGCCTAAAATGTCAGTGCAAAGAAGAATGTAAGTGAATAATATTTTGTTGGTTTCAGTGTTTTATCATTAATGATGATGTTAACTCTGTTTATTTTTATTTTTGATGCTCTTCATCAGATTGAGAAAATATTTTTCTATTTCTAGTTTACTGAAAGTTTTTGTCAAGAATAAAAATGGAATTTGCCAACTGTTTTTTTCTACATACACTGGATTACCATATATAATTTTCCTTTTATTCTGCAACAGACACTAACTATAATTCTTAATTTCTGATCTAAAAATTCCCATGGGAGAGAACTGATTGGCCTAGTGTCAGGAATGAACATGAGTCCAGCCAATTGTAACCCAGGGCAGGATATAGGTCAGTTTCATGTAGATCATTGCCCAGACAGTAGGAACTATGGTTAAAGACCCTGTAATCAAGAATGTGGCATGTTCTATAGCATCTATAGCATATATTGGGTGGGGGTAGTAAAAAGATGATTGCTACCTGTTCTGTATCTTTTTTCTCTATATTTTAATTTTATCATATTAGTCTGGTAGTCCCCCCATCCCATGATAAAAGGCAGTTGTTACATAAGTTAATAAGAGGTAAATGCAAAATGTCATCAGTATTTACAAAATGTTTTCTGTAAGTCATAATAAATAAAATTAGAATCAACAAACCATGAGAAAGCCATCATTTATAAAGTATTATTTCTCTTCATACTTTACTATTGAAAGGTGTCTTCTTGCTAAATTAAGGCCAAATTGTCAAACTAATTTATATTTAATTCAATATTCTCAGCTTACTTAGGAGATTATTACAAACAGGCAATATTTTATTTCTCGTTATATGTCTTGGCACAATACCAAGTTTGACATTAATTGACAGTTATTCTGACTTAAATAAATCAGCATTTTTTAAAAAGTACTCAGTGACAATGTAATAAATGGATTTGGGCATGGATGATGAACACACTGTCAATATAGCAGACAAAAATGAGGAGGCATTATACGAGTTTTGGTGAGGTGGAATAGCAAAGAATAATGAAAAAAAAAGCACAACAAAATTTGAAAGCCAATGATTTGACTTCCTGTGCAGGCTTAATGGGTTTGGGACATTTTCAATCTATCAAATATTTACAAAATAAAATCAAATATTACTTATCAACTTAAAAAGCTAAGGTTGTTTAATGTAATGCAATAACATACTGGGAACTTTGCTTTAACTATAAGTAATATTTGAATAGTTATTAGCCTTTCATTCATTTTAGTTTAGAAGGAAAATTTCAAAAAAATTACTGTGTGGGAAGGTGGGTTGTGGGATTCTCTGCAATGTGTAATGGTTCATGTATTCAGTTCACTACTTGTTGATATAAGCTTTGAAAGAAATATTTTGACCAAATTTTTACTGAAAAAACATCTTACTCTTTGTATATGGAGAAATTGAATGTACAATGGGCAATAGCCAGGGCATAAATGACAATAAAACTTTGACCCATAATCTGAGCCAACCTGTGGCGAACCAGACCTCTGCAGCACTCATCCCAGAGTAAACAGCTTTTCTTCAATGACTGTCAGCTTCCCTAAATTTTTCCCCTGCTCCCAACTCAGGATAAACAAGTGAAAGTCAAATACACTCCCTATACCAAGTGACAGGATGCCCCACTTCTAGTTAATCCACTTCCAGCTTCCCCATGCCAACAATCTCCAATCAGAGCATATCTAAAGCTTTTTTTGTTTTTTTTTTCTTCTTCACTACAAAGCTTCCCTGTCTGGTAAATCCCTTGAGTCTCTGACAAGTCCAAGTGATGGTGGCTGATTCCCTTATGATAGAAAGCTCTGAATAATTAGTCTTCATTTGTTTTCATTTGGTGGTCTTTATTTCCACAACATACTTTTCAATGTCAAGAAGCATTAAATATTCACTTAAAAACTTAATATCAGAGCAGTTTATTCTAATTTTAAAAATTATATAAATTATTTTATAATGTCTGTGAGAATATATCTAGATACAGTGGTAGACTGATCACATCCATTATTTACCTTCAAAGACATTTATTACAAATAAACCTTCAACAATGTACAGAATGGCAACTGAGTATTAGTAGACAAGATATATCAATACATTTGTAATAAAACAAGACAAGTTGGCCTTGTCTCAGTGTCTCACGTCTGTAATCTCAGTACTCTGGGAGGCCGAGAAGGGCGGATCACAAGGTCAGGAAATCGAGGCCATCCTGGCTAACACGGTGAAACCTGTCTCTACTAAAAATACCAAAAATTAGCTGGACGTGGTGGCATGCACCTGTAGTCCCAGCTACTCGGGAGGCTGAGGCAGGAGAATAGCTTGAACCCAGGAGGTGGAGGTTGCAGTGAGCCGAGACCGCACCACTGCACTCCAGCCTGGGGGACAGAGCAAGACTCTGTCTCAAAAAAAAAAAAAAAAAAAAAAAAGAAGTTACCTGATGGATGGACAATACAATGAAGGAGGTTACAGCCTGGAAGA